>NC_000010.11:17131212-17282727 GCF_000001405.40 Homo sapiens
TACTCGGGAGGCTGAGGCAGGAGAATGGCGTGAACCCGGGAGGCGGAGCTTGCAGTGAGCTGAGATCATGCCACTGCACTCCAGCCTGGGGGACAGAGCGAGATGCCGTCTCAAAAACAAAACAAAACAAAAAAAAACTTTACTTGTGATACTCAAATAGTCACTGCTTTTAAAAATTTTTTTTAAACCTTCCCAATTTCTTCTATATGTCTCTTGTATCTGCTTCTTTCACTCAACATAATGCTTTTGTAATTCATCTGTGCTGTAGTGTATATCATTAATTGGTTCCCTTTTATTATTGAGTAGTATTTCATCATATGGCTATCCCACAGTTTGCTTCTCTACTCATCAGTTGATAAACACTTGAGTTATTTCCAGTTTGGGACTATTATAAATAAAGCTGTTATGAACATTTGTGAACAGGTCTTTGTGTCAACATAGGTATCTCATTACAATTTTAATTTATATTTCCCTAATGACCAAAGATGTTGGGCATCTTTTTATGTATATTTGCCATTTGTTTATCTTCTTCGGTGAACTGTCTGTTTAGATATTTTGCCTATTTTTTAAAATTTTGTTGTTTGTCTTTTATTGATTGTAAGAGCTCATATATTCTAGATACAAGAATTTTCAAATACGTATTTTGCAAATATTTTTCTGCCAACCTGTGGCAAGTCATTTTGCTTGCTTAAAAATATTTTTCAAGGACAACAATAAGACACAAAAGACTACTTCCTAAGTGATTCTATATCACATGATTCCATATGAAAATCTAAAAAAGCCAAAACTACACTGATTGATAGACAACAAATCAGAGGCCAGGGGTTGGGGAGGAGATTGATCGCAAGGAGGCATGAGGGAATATTTAAGGGTGATGAAAATGTTCTGTATCATGATTGTGATTGTGGTTGCATGACTGTATAAATTTGTCAAAACTCATAAAGCTGTATAGTTAAAATAGATAATCTTTGGCAGATGTAAATTACAGCACAATAAAACTGATTAAAATTATTTCTCTTCTATATTTGTAAATGTCTTCATATATCAGGATGATACAAAATATTAATTTGGTATTAAACTAAATGCTAAGAAAAGATATCCAATAGCCTTTACATCAATAGAGATGAAATTTATCATAATAAATTTGTTTATTTGAAAGCTTAACAACTTGGCATGGGGTGGAGGGAAAGTTTGACAATATGAAATTTTTGGCAAGTTTAGAATAGGATAAAATAGTCTGGGCTAGAATCTTCCAATCAAAAGGATAATTCAAACTCTCTGAGCTCTGGACGTAACTATTTTCATGATTATACTTTCTTAAAGACCACTGAACTCAGCTAATCTTTCCAGTGCAATAGAAAAGGCCTCCAGCATGATCTTAATAAGGACTTCCTCTTTGACAGGATTTTCCTGTTTTGTTAATTAATGTGTTTATTACTCAACAAAGTAAAGATAATCTCTCAGCTCCCAATCTAAGCATTCAATTGCTCATTGTCACCCATGTTAGAAAAAAAAAAGAAAGTAACCGTCGTTCAAGGTCTGACTGACTTTTAGTGATGAGTTAGGGAATTTTACATCCAGCTCATTCACTCAACTCTAGCTCAGATCAATAGGCAAGTCAGACTGTCTGCATATGTTGACTCTGTGAAAAGCAATATAAAAATCAATTGCTGTTTCCAAGGGATTGGCACTCATTCTGTTTACTTACTCTATTCAGAAATACTTCAGGAAAGATGAATTAAAGTAGTTTTAGAATCTATGACCTTCAGATCTATATGGTAGATAACCTCTCTTCTTCTCCTCTCCCAAGGTAAACATTCTATAGACCTGAAATTCTATCTTTCATTGACTAGTAAAACTCCTGTCTCTTCCCTAATCTAGAATGCATTCCCCTAATATTCTGCATGTGCCCTTTACATATTAGCCATCTATAAGATGATAGGAACACGAAATGTAGTAAATTGCAGATTCTTCCCTCTGAAGCCTCCAGTCTAGGGAAGACCACATGGTTGAAGGTTAAGAACACGGGCCTGAAGCTCATTTATGTGCGTTCAAAGTCTGACTCCATCACTTACTGACCATGGAACCTTGTTTTTTCATCAGCAGACAGATAATAACAGCACTGAAGTTATGTAAAATGTTTAGCACATTAGGTTACTGGCACAAAATAAGTGTTCATTAAATATAAGCTGTTATCAATATCATGTAAAGAAATATAATAATCCTCACCCTCCTGTATCCTCTCTTGGGTTTAGATTCCTTAAAAGAAAAAATGACAAAAAGAATTCACAGCTGTCTTTATAATCTTGGGTACAAGGAGAAGCAAGGGTGTCTGATCATTTCTCCTATAAAAGAGGATTTCAGAGCAGAGAGATGAATTGGGGACTTTGAGTGAGGAAGACGATTGCTGACCTGGAGTTAAAGGTGTGAGGCAAAGGTAACTGATGTCTAAGAACAAGGCAAGGTGACTCCAGGAAGCACAGAACAACTCCACATTGGTGGGTGGAGAGCAAGATTCCATTTAAATCCAAGAGTTTTGAAGAGCAGGCAATCCAAAAGAAACGGTATCATCCTTGAGTGGAACTGAGTAACCAGGGTGAGGAAGCTTTTATATGGGGTGCTAGCAATGGAGCCCTCGGACAGGGAGGATCTGCTCTGGGGGCTGCTCAGTGTTTGGAGGAGGGCACCTAGTTGGAGAGTTTACCTAAGGAACCCTTATGCACATTTGTACGCATTCATTAAAATAAAACCCTTAGGGCCCGGCGCGGTGGCTCAAACCTGTAATCCCAGCACTTTGGGAGGCCGAGGCGGGTGGATCACGAGGTCAGGAGATGGAGACCATCCTGGCTAACACGGTGAAACCCCGTCTGTACTA
This sequence comes from Homo sapiens, assembly GCF_000001405.40. NCBI lineage: Eukaryota > Metazoa > Chordata > Mammalia > Primates > Hominidae > Homo > Homo sapiens. The sequence continues at coordinate 17,134,088 of NC_000010.11, forward strand.
AAAATACAAAAAATCAGCTGGGCGTGGTGGTGGGCGCCTGTAGTACCAGCTACTCAGGAGGCTGAGGCAGGAGAATGGCTTGAACCCGGGAAGCGGAGCTTGCAGTGAGCTGAGATCATGCCACTGCCCTCCAGCCTGGGTGACAGAGTGAGACTCTGTCTCAAAAAATAAAAATAAAATAAAATAATAAAAAATAAATAAAACCCTTAGGTCAGAACACTGATAACATTAATGGCATGTTGTAGACTTTAAGTTTATAATGGTGTCTGCTGTACTGTTGATTTCCACTCATCAGCCTTTACTCTCTTTGACTTCTTCAGCAAGACACATGCAAATGTATTTTGCATTGTTGCTGATACCATACATGGTACATGGAATGAGGGTGGTATCCAAATGTTCAGTGTACTGCTCATCCATAATTCATGACCTGCTGACTTCTGCTCCGGTCCTGTCGCATGGTCTCACCTTTCTCTTTCTTCCTCATCCTGGCTCCACAGCCTTTCTCACTGAAGTCTTAGCTCCCTTCTCTCCCTCCCTCCCTCCTTCCAAAACCACCTGAAGGTGGTTGTAAGAATCAGAATGAACTACTCCTTTCTCCTGTTTTTTATGTTTTTCAAGATATCTCTGTGCAACCTTTTCTCCTTCTGTGACATTCACTTCTCCTCCCTTTATATTCTGAATGCTCAGTTCTTTGCTCCTCCTTTAAATAATTCCCACAGACTTCACAAATAAAAATTCCTGTGGTCATCAAAAACATACATGAAAGTTAATCCCAGTATACTAGAATTTCATATGAGGGGAATTTAAGGTTAAGAAGGGGTCATGGTAATCAGAATATGGCTAAGGACAAAAACAGAGGTTGGGGGAGGGGGAGGGAGAGAGAGAGAGAGAGAGAGAGAGAGAGACCTTTATTGGAGAACAATGGAGGAGAGAATTAACTCTGCCTGGAAGGGGAATGCAGGCTTCCCAGGAGTCCATCTGAGTAGTTCCCAGGTAGAATAGTAGAGTGAGGAGTTTCAGGCAGAGTAATGGTGTATACAAAGCTTTTCAGTAGAAAGTAGCTCAGCAGGGCTACAGCAGTGTCTATATGTGGGAGATGAAGTTTTAAAAATGAACAGGAAGCCAAATCAAGAAGGACTTTGAAATATCATTTTAATGAGCTTAGATTTTATTTACTTTTAATACTGCAGAATTATGAGAGTCTCTTAGGGAAGAGATTAACATGGTCATGTTTGCATTTTACAAGCAACCCTGTGGAGCCATGTCTGAGACCCAGAGTTGGTAAGGAGGTTAGAGTACATGTTTCCCCCCGCAGATGGAGTCTCACTCTGTCACCCAGGCTGGAGTGCAGTGGCGTGATCTCGGCTTACTGCAACCTCTGCCTCCTGGGTTCAGGCAATTCTCCTGCCTCCACCTCCTGAGTAGCTGGGATTGCAGGCACACACCACCACACCCGGCTAATTTTTGTATTATTATTAGAGACGGGGTTTCACCATGTTGGCCAGGGTGGTTTCGAACTCCTGACCTCATGATCGGCCCGCCTAGAGTACACTTAAAGAGATGTGACCTGGGGAGCCTTAAGGCAATGGACAGTCAGATGAGGAGACAGTGAGAAAGATATTCAGAAAACAGGCTACAGAAATACTTGGGTAGTTAATATTTCATTAGAACTATTAGAGGGGGAAGTTGGCCGGGTGCAGTGGCTCATGTCTGTAATCCTGACACTTTGGGAGGCCGAGGCAGGCAGATCACTTGAGGTCGGGAGTTCAAGATCAGCCTGGCCAACATGGTGAAACCCTGTCTCTACTAAAAATACAAAAATTAGCTAGGCGTGGTGGCGGGCACCTGTAGTCCCAGCTACTCAGGAGGCTGAGGCAGGAGAATCACTTGAACCTGGGAGGCGGAAGCTGCAGTGAACCATGATTGCACTATGCACTACTGCACTCCAGCCTGGGCAACAGAGGGAGACTCTGTCTCAAAAAAAAAAAAAAAAAAAAAAGAACAGAGGTTTCTTGCTTGGAAAATTGGAATTGGAAGGAAAGAGATGTCATTAATTGAGTAAGAGAATAATCAGGGGAAGAAGATTTTGGAGGAAAGATAGTTCAGATTTGGATACATAGAGCTCTAAGGAATATCAACCACTCTGCTGCTTCACAGGCCTCACTCTCTGCAAGTGGTTTAACCATCTAAGATGGGAGTGGGGAAGATGTAGAGATGGCGTAGACTAGAACCTTGCTACTCCAAGTGTGGTCCACAGACCCAGCACAGGCGTCACTCAGGAGCGTGTCAGAAATGCAAAATCTCAGGTGCTACTGCCAACCTGCTGAATTAGAATCTTCATTTTACAAAGATCCTCCTCCCTGCCAATTATCTGTACACTCATTAAAGTGACCTAGGAGCACAAAGACACCTTCACTCATGACGAGAGTCAAGTGGTCCCTGCCATTGCGTCTGCATTTCCATTTCTACATTTTTCTTAGATTGATTCTCCAATTTTTAAATAATTTTCTATTTTCCACCTCTTTGTCTTGTTTTGTTATACTTTCTGAGAAAGTATTTATCTTTTAATTTTCTAGTAATTTGTTTTAAAATGTTGCTATCATTTTAAATTTGAAAACCCCTTTTTTGATTTTTGCTCTTGTTTCGTAGTTGTAACATCATCTAGTAATTTTTAGATAGTTGCTTTTTGATGTTTTCTTGTTTCCTGTATGGGCTCTGTTTTCTCTAAGTTGTTTTTCTCCCATTTGTTTGCTGGTTTAGGTCTTTCTAATTCATGCTAGAGGCTTTCCTCAAATACCTATGGATCCTTATATGTTCATTGACATTTAAAAATAACACATTACAGAATGGATGGTAGGCTCTGTGTGCATGGGTGGCGATTATAACTGGTAGGCTTTGCCACAGAGCAACCGAATGGCAAACTGACAATTTCACTGGGGAACCCCAAATGCCCATCTTTGAAGGCATCTTGCCCTGGAGACGTTCAGAAAAAAATTCTCCAGTCTTCTACCTGGACTAGTAGAGGTGACTGGAGATTTTATACTAAGTGTACAGACTTTACTTACCCTCTTATTTTCTGTATTTTTCTCCAAATTCTTGAAGAGCATCTCATTGCCACATTAGTATATTTCACTGCTGTTTTTTATACCAATGTTCACTTTTTATTCCTACCAGCTTTATCTAAATTCCATTGTTTTAGAGGCTTAATAAGCATTTAGTGAAGACATACGAAGTCCTTGACCATGGGGGAAATTTGAAAGAAGTAAATTTATTGACCTTCTCTGATTTACAATAAAGTCGTAATGTACAAATCTGGAGAGCCAGAGTTAGGCAACATTACAAAGACAAGTGTGACAAGATGGCACAGATACACAGTAGCATGCTGTTAAGTAAACAGCAGGTACCAAACTAGGAAAGATGTCCAAGGCCCAGTATGGGCACACTATAGAAAGTGGTTCCACTGGCCGGGCTCAGTGCCTCGTACCTGTAATCCCAGCACTTTGGGAGGCCAAGGCGGGCTGATCATTTGAGGTCAGGAATTTGAGACCAGCCAAAATGGTGAAACCCTGTCTCTACTAAAAATACAAAAAAATTAGCCGGGCATGGTGGCACACACCTGTAGTCCCAGCTACTCAGGAGGCGAGGCTGAGGCAGGAGAATCGCTTGAACCCAGGAGGTGGAGGTTGCAGCAAGCCGAGAGCCACTGCACTCCAGCCTGGGTGACAGAGCGAAACTCTGCCAAAAAAAAAAGAAAAAAAAAAAAAGGTTGTTCCACTTGTCCAGCAGGGTGACCTTGAAGGAAAGTGGCTGGGTAAAGGAAGAGACATCGACAGAAGGCCTTAAGTGGCAGGTTAAAGAATGTTGATTTAATCTTTTTAATAGGGGGATGTTCTTTTATCTTGAGTGCAATAATCCTTATGTGATATTTCTGCTAGGCCAGCTGAATTTATCTGGAGGACTGGATCAATGTGGGAGTCATAAAAATGAGGAGAGGGTTGAGATGCAGAGGTGCGTTGGAGGATGGACAAATTGGCAAGATTCTCACACCCCTAATGCTAGCTCCCATTACATGTTATAGCTTCAATCTGGCTTTTGTGCTTTTTTTAGTCCCTTTTCATTTTCATATCAGTTTAAAACAGAACACTGTAGAATTAATCTGGTTTTTAGTCATTAATGGAAACATTTGTGAATATAACGATCTTTTAACCTTCATGACACTTAATTCATTCTCTTTTTCAGGGACGTAACATTGCTTAAAAGATACATTTACATATGTCAGTTTTGTGATTTTCTGCAAAATTTCAGGGCAATATAACATTGTTCCAATTCTTTCATTTTCCATGAAGGATTACATAAAATAATGATGGAAATCAAGGTACATTTAAAACTATTCTTTTGCTCATTTCATGGGAAGTGCATTACCATGTAGGAAATTACCAAGTCTACTACTGTGATGAACTGATCTTTTTGAAAGCAGTGTGGTCTTGGCTCAAGGCACATAAAGCAGACATTTGTTCTCCATGCTCATTATTACAATGACTACAATTATCTTTGAGTAGAATGAAAAAGAATTATGAGTTAATCATTAACATTTAAATTGCTGAGGTTTGGCAGAGCTTTTCCTGAGAAAGCAGATTGTTGAGAGTTTGGAGAACTTTTCCACTTTTTTCAAGTTTTTTTTTTTAAGTAATATAATCCCTTCATAAACAATGAGAAAAAAATAACGAAATTCAAATCCAGAGGGACAAACGCAATAGGGGAATAGGGCTTTGGAGGAGGAGCACAGGGGTGTTCGTGGCACATGTATACACACGTGTGCACACACAGCTTCCTAATTGTAACTCAAGCAAATGTTACAGAAAACATAAAATATGCACTGGAGGGTCTCGCATCATTATAAGGATCAGCCATAGCAGAGGAGATACTAATTGCTAGGATTAAAGGCTCCAAAAGCTAGTAAAAAAATCAACAGAGCTTTCTCTACCTCCAACAGCTCCCGGAATGGGGACTTCAGCAGCTCCATTGGATTAATCCAAGCTTGGTTTCCAAGGTGTGAAGCAATGAAGCGGAGTTTACCATAGGTGAACCCTCCTGCCATCCTGTTCCAAATCAACCTAAAAAGGACAAAATGAGTTTTCTACTTGGTGACCCCTAAAATTCCCCAAACAAGGCGGTGAAGTTAAATATTTAGACACCATTCATACGATAATCAAAGGAAAATGTCTGATTGCACTCAGACTTCAGCATGAATGACAGAAGAAATGTAGGTGGTAAATAACTGCAAACAACTTATATTGGATCTGATCTTAGGAAAAGGGGAAAGTACATCTTTGTGATGATATTTTGTGTTCTATTAGGGGAGGAGAGCAAGAGAGGTGAGGATGTCACCACCGATGGGGGGAAGAAAAAAACAGTTTGGTTCTCTTCTGGGAAGGAAAATGAAAAAAAAGAAAAAGAAAACAAAGTTTGGGGATACCTGGCACTCTTCAGACTCTGCCTCTTGTACCTTTAATTGGGAAGATAGACGCAGAAGCAGTACACACAGGCATCTTTATCTTGTGAGAGGAAGCTTTGCATTACGGATGTGATTTACGGTTAGAGGAGTGATTTAACAAGGCTGATGCCTTACAAAGGGGCATCATTCCCAGGGGATTTGTTAATTGAAGTGCCACATAGATCTGTGGGAAGATTTAAGGTGTTGTCATCAATGGCAGAAAGGATGAGATGACCTCACTTCTGTCTTTTTCAATGCCGTTATTCTAAGATCTATAAAAAACAACACCTTTGTATGCTTTCTTTATAGTGACTTGGACCATATTTGTTACGGAAGTACTGCTAAATCAAGCTTTGTCAACAATTCCTAGACTATGTTTAGAAGAGACATAAACAATACCCTAGGAGTTATACACAATTTTGGCATTAAATATTCTTCCAGTAACATCTAGTGTGCTTTTTTTTTTTTTTTTTTTTTTTTTTGAGACAGAGTCTTGCCCTGTCACCCAGGCTGGAATGATGCAATGGCACGACCTCGGCTCACTGCAACCTCCGCCTCCCAGGTTCCAGTGAGTCTCCTGCCTCAGCCTCCTGAATAGCTGAGATTACAGGCACATGCCACCACATCCAGCTATTTTTTTTTTTTTTTTGTACCTTTAGTAGAGATAGGGTTTTATCATGGCCAGGCTGGTCTTGAACTCCTGACCTCATGGTCCGTTCACTTCGACCTCCCAAAGTGCTGGGATTACAGGTGTGAGGCACCATGCCCAGCACTTCTTTTCTTTTTGGCTGACAGAATTATTCAAACAATCCCCCAAGCCATGAAAGAACCTACAATTCTATTACCATACTCAGCATACTCATATCTAAGTCAGTTAATTGGACAATTATTTATTAGGTACCCACTATCTGTCAGCATCTGAGAAAGGTACTGAGGATACACAAATGGGCAAGATGTAGCTTCTGCTCTGGAGGAAAAAAGTCAGCAGGGGAGGGGATTATATTACATAGCATCAAGATGCAAATGAGGTAGCAACTTACAAGCTTACAATGAACAGACTCTACAGTAAAGACTTGAAACTGAGTGTTTTGAAAGAAAGAACATTTTAAATGATAAAACTAATATTATGCCACATTGATGAAAACAAAAACAACAAAAAAGATCACATTCAATTGAAAAATATAAACAAGAAAAATTAAAATGCTATTACTCTAACATAACTGCTATCATTATTTTATTCCAATCTATTTTTAGATGAATAATTTCACAGTTATAATCATTAGCTATACGTTAGGTGTCTTCCTTTCATCTTTGATTATTTCACATATCAGATAAGCCTAATTCCATGTTAACTACCTGCTCGCCCTAATAATTGTAAAGAGCTGCATAGAGGTATATGTGTATCGATACATATATAGATAAAACAGAGATCTCTTGAAGGATAGTTTGGCTAGATATAGAATTCATAGTTGACAATGCCACCTCCTTCTGGTCCTCATGGTTTTGGATGAGACATCTACTGTCATCCAAATTGTGTCCCCCGCCCCATGGCAACGTGTCATTTTTCTCCAGCTGCTTTTATTTATTTATTTATTTTTTTGAGACGGAGTCTCACTCTGTCACCAGGCTGGAGTGCAGTGGCACGATCTCAGCTCACTGCAGTCTCCGCTCCTGGGTTCAAGCCATTCCCCTGCCTCAGCCTCCCGAGTAGCTGGGACTACAGGCATGCACCACCATGCCCGGCTAATTTTTTTGATTTTAGTAGAGACGGGGTTTCACCATGTTGGAAAGGATGGTCTCTATCTCCTGACCTTATGATCTGCCCCCCTTCGCCTCCTAAAGTGCTGGGATTACAGGTGTCAGCCACCGCGCCCAGCCTCCAGCTGCTTTTAAGGTTTTGCCAAATTTGGGATGTTTCCAGCCATTATTTAAATGCTCTTTCAGCTCCATTTTTTTCCCCTCTACTTCTGGCACCCCAAACATATAAATGTTGGTTCTTCTGTTATTGTCCCACAGGTCCCCAAGGCTCTGTTAATTTTTTTTGTCAGCCTATCTTTGCCCTATCATTTAGATCAGGTAAATTCTACTGATCCGTCCTTAGGTTCACTGATTTCTATCTTCTGTCATTTCCTCTCTACTACTGATCTCAAGTTTAGCAAAAGATATAAATGTACAGATTCAAGAAGGTGAATGAACACCAAACAGGATATTACATTCACTTTGAAATATCTGCCACTTTGAAAGAAATTCATGCCAAGACACATCATAATTAAATTTCTGAAAATAAAGTTAATGTAACAGACAAAATGTCCAGGATCTAATCAAATTATCTGTTACCACAGAATGTTTTCTATTTTGGTTATTTTTCAGTTACATAACTGCCATTTATTTCTATTCTTAAAAATTGGCATATAGTGCACCTACCATAATGGTTCTTTTGTTAACTTCTATTTCTTTGCTGAGCTTTTCTATTTTTTGTGGCAAGACAACTTGTAATTACCTGTTGAAGCATTTTTATGAGAGTTGCTTAAAATCCTTGTCAAGTAATTCCAACATCTGATTTGTCTCAGTGTTGTCATCTGTTGACTGTCATTTCTTATTCAAGTTGTGATTTTTCTGGTTCTTGGTATGACAGGCTATTTTACATCGTATCCTGAACCTTTTGTCTATTATTTTAATCTTTTATTTTTAGTAGGCAGTCACTCCATTTGTGTTTAGCATGCAAGCCCTGGCTTAGTTTTTGTGGGCTATGAGTCCAGTGGTAATTTAGTTTTTAAAGCCTTTGCAGTGTTATTTTGGTCTGCTTGGTTTATCTGGTGCTGCTGGGGTTCCCGAATGGTCCTTCATGATGCTACTTTAGGGAAAGAAGGATTTTCTCCCAAGCCAGGTCCCATGGTATCTCTGGGAGAAGGGAGTCTCAGGCTCAGGGTAATAAAAAATCTTCCTGGGTTAGATGCTTTTTGCCAGAGGCCCCTGGATGCTCATCTCTCAGCACAAAAGACAAGTCTCAGGTCTGGATGTTTGTCAGTGGGATTCCTGATATACCCCCGTGCTGGTAGAGCCAGACTCATCTGGTATTACCGACCAGACTTCAGTTCCCTCTTCTGTAGGAACGAGCCTCTCTGGGCTGTCTTCTATTGTGTGGTTGTAGGTCGGGAAACATCAAGCCTGGGTAACCTTCCTCTGTTGGGTGAGGGGTCAGATGTCTTGGAACCATGTTGTTCCTCTAGTCTTGGGGTCCCTCCGCAGTGTGTCTTCCTGGTCCCACCTTTCAGAATTCTCCTTCTGATTCCTCTTGCATTATTTTATAATTATACTTACCCAGAGTTTATAATTACACTTTTCAGGGAGGAGCAGGGAGAAATAAATCTACACTCTCTTGTCAAGACCAGAAGTCAGAATACAGTATTTTAAAAAGTTTTATTTGCGCTACTTTCCAAAAGCCAAAAGCCTATCCCAGAATTATTTTTTAAATCATGTGTTCCAGACTTGAGTAACTTTGGCTGTTCCTCTGGGCATGGAAGAAGTGGCAGTAACAGACAAATTAAATAGTTTTCAAGAGAACAACTTAAAGACATTGTTTGAACTCCACAGTGTGGTGCTTTCTATGTAGCTTCAATATTGATTCCAGTATGGTTCCTACATTCACTCATTCAACAACTATTTATTGAGTGCTTACTATGTGCCAGTACTGTTTTAAGTCACTGGGGGGACAACGTATTAACAATCTCTGCCCTTGTGGAAGTTTACATTCTCTAAAACATGAAACATTTTCCATTTTTAAAACTCAGATCGTAACAGCTATTCAGCTTATTGTCTACTCATTCATAGGATCAGCTCTTAAATATGAAAGTCAACTCATTTCTACTACACAAGGAGTATCACATTCCATTCAGTGTTTTCAGTCATTTTTTTCACATGTGAAATTTAACTGGACTTGTGTAAGGAACCAGCTAAGTGAGTAAAATAGCAAATATTTTAGTAAAAACGACATTCATGCTGGATTAAATTTAGAAGGCTCAAATCTGTTAAATGTTGACATGTTTAACCAAGCACACAAATATGATTGCAAATATATGTGTGGGTGTTTTTAAATCTCAGTGACTTTTTATAAGTTTTCCTAAAAATAAATGATCGTTCAGAGGCCTGCCTTAGGAAGGCCATTTTAACAGAAGCTGACCAATGGAATGCAGAGTGAGAAGGAAGGTGAAGATGATCTTTGGTTATGAAGCTTGAACTTGGAAGATGTGGAGACTAACCGTACCATAAATATTAAAGTCAAGAGTGGAACTGACTATAGAATGGAGTGTGCTTAGGTTGCAAGCATGCTAAATTTGATGCAAATCCGATACAACTTGAATAGCAAGATATCCAAGTTAAAAATGTCCCAGCATGAAGATTCTAGAATAGGACTTAGGAAAACAGCAGATTTAGAGTCATCTGGGTGTCATCGGCAAAATGGCTGAAGTTGTAGGAAAGGGTGAGAATCTCTAAGAAAAATGGCATGAAAAGTGAAGGGTAGAAAGAGACCTGAGGACGGAACCTTCAGATAAGTCAGCTCCAAGCCTCTGCTCTTCTTTTTCTCTTTCTCTCTTTCACTCTCATCCTCTGACCCTCTAGGTGATCTCATCTGATTATAGAGCTAATTTAGCTAAACAAACATGTTCTCTATGTACACTCTTATAATTTCAATCTGTCCTGATAAAAATAGAAATCAAAATGCAAACAAAATACAGAGCAAATATTTGAAGTAAACACTGAAGCCATGCTAGGTACAAGCAAAGAAATGAAAAAACCCTAGGCTTATTCAGAAAAGAGTTCTATGGGAGAACTCAGTTCCTATCTTGTAATTTTTGTGAAAATTTCCGGTCTCATATTTATAGGAAAAATGAGATTTTGGAAGCTTTAGGAGTCAAGTGTGGTGTACTTGAGGGAGACTTCAGTAAGTGCTGGATGTGGCTGAAAGTAAGACTCAGAATCTATGGTAAATATAAAGCCAATGTATATGAGAACTTGGGGAATACAAAGCCAAAACAGCTCATTGTACATGCTCATATTTCTTGAACAAATATATTTAAAAAGAAATAAATTCACAAGCTAAGACATGAATGGTGATGGAGTTTGGATCTTGATTGTGTAAGATTTTGAAGAGCATGAGTACCTTAAAATGTTCCTAGACAGCCTAAAGAGAGAAACGGAAGCTAGAAACAACAACAACAAAAAATACTTTTTCTTTTTTTTTTTAAACTGAAGCTTTAAAATTTCACCAGCAAAGACAAGAAATAGTGAAAGGGAAAATGATGCACACAGGTTGACTCATGCAAACTGAAACTAAAGAACATGTGCAAGATGCTTAATGCCTTTTTAAAAAACATGCAAAGGGAGGCTGGGCGTGGTGGCTCATGCCTGTAAAACCCAGCACTTAGGGAAGCCAAGGTGGGTGGATTAACTTGAGGTCAGGTGTTCGAGACCAGCCTGGCCAACATGGTGAAACCCGATCTCTACTAATACAAAAATTAGCTAGGTGTGGTGGCATGCGCCTGTAATCCCAGCTACTAGGGAGGCTGAGGCAGGAAAATCACTTTAACCCAGGAGGGGGAGATTGCAGTGAGCCGAGATCACGCCACTGCACTCCAGCCTAGGCAACAGAGCGAGACTCAGTCTCAAAAACAAAACAAAACAAAACAAAACAAAACAAAAAAAACAGCAAAGGGAAACTCTCAAATGAAAGGCATAACTAGACATCTTGGTGGGTGTGACAGAGGTCCAGAAAAGTGCTTGCTAAGAAGCTGATATGATAGTTGTATATAGCACATTTGAATGGTAGATGGAAGAGATTAACTAGTAGACAGAGGTCCAAAGGCCATGTCTTTAAAAATTATATAATCTCAATGCAATCACAGGCTACAAGAAAACTGCTGAGGCTATATGACCCTCACACAGTTTCAAAGTCCAAAGCTATTAGTAAGTCAGTGTCATAACTGGTGGCCTAAAACAGTTAGAATCCCAAGCCGAAGGCCAAATTATGACAAGGTAACCTGTTCATAACATAAGCAATTCAGGAAAACCCACTTTAATCTCTTTGTCTATGTGGGATTAAAATTTGGTCCTTATTGTGTTATCTTGGCTTTTTTAGAAACCGCTTGTTTCTAAACTCTTAAGTTATCAAAGCAAAAGAGCAACCAGAGTGACTTTGGTTTGGATGCAGATGCAGCTGGCCTGCAGAATGCATCCTTTAGTAGGTGCTTGATATTAGATGAAATGTGGTTGCTTCTTTGTTCTGTTCTGCTATGGCTAAAATTAAATCAGTTGTATTTATCTTTAGTTCATTTCTCTCTCCTCAGAAGTCTCCAGCTTAATCACTCTAGACCTCAACTAGGTTGAGATGGGAGCAAAAACCCAGATGGTGATTTCTGCTGAGAACTTCCACCCCTACCAATGCGTTGAATTGCCTGCACTCATCTCTAACCCCATCCAATTTTACATCCCACATGGTAGCAATACAGCCTTTCAGGGCAACTTAAAAGCCTCTCTACTAAATAACTTTACCTCTTTGAAAAGTTGGATAATTTCAAGCAACAGTTTACCCTCAAATTTCTAAAAAAGTGCTGGGTGGACCCTCACTGTTCACAATTTCAACTACTGTTTTTGCCTCTTTAGAAGGCTCTCCTTTTTGAGGAAGAATAAGTTGGCTGAAGGTTGGAGGTATTTTCTCATCTTTCCAGACATAGGGCAGTGCCCATGGTGAAGGTCTGATTTCACAGACAGAACACCATGGCCAGGGTCCTCTGTGAAGGTGATGCCATCATTCCTCTTTCTTGCCTGCCACTGAGGATTGTCAGGCTCTGACCCCTCCTACAATGACTACCCACCTCTTCGAAATCATTTTCCAACTATGACTCATTTTGTTTACATTAATTGATTTGGTCATCTCTTAGAATTAGTTTTGGATCCTGAAGACATACTAAAAATATGAAGCAGGGTAATAAATACCTTACAATTATCTGGCAAGCCGTTTAAAAGAGCAGGGATGATGGGAAAAGGAGAACGAAAAATCGGTTTACTGTAAGGTATGGTGAAGACTGAATTACACATAGTTCTCCTGAAAATGAGAAGCTATGTTTTCCAACATCTGAATAAATGTACAAGTCCAAATATCAGGAAACAGAATTTCCAGTGCAAATTTTATATACAGCATTATTACCAAAAGCATATAGCAGACATTCCATAAAATAACATTTTCCAAATTAATTATGCATACATATACATCTGCTAATTGAATGACACTGGTAGATACATCTTCATTAAGATGTGAGTTTTATGCTTGTTACTGCATATTTTCAATTATGAATTAAGGGCAAGAATCACCGTCTTCCTGTGAATACATTCCCATAATTTAAGAATTCCACTAAGCTACATTCTGTCTACCAGTTTGTAAGCAAATGTCTCTACAGACCTTTCAAGTATTTATAGTTGGTGCACAGTAACTCGACACTTATTTTGTATAATGTTGCTCAACCGAATGTGGGATACTATAATTATAGCATAATTATTCATAGTTACAGTAAAACTCTAAACCATTTTATTTAGAATATTTCAGCAGTGAACAGAACCTACATGAAAGTGTGCCAAAATAATTTGTGATTGTTTACTGAAATTTATGAGACTTGTAATAGGCTCTGTCTGAACACATATGAAAAATGTAGATAGTGATAGTTTCTGTATATGGGCTGGCTTACAGCTTCCCTACATTCATATTTATCTATGAGTTCTGAAAAATTGGTAATAGAGTATGATTTTTTCAATTGCAGTAAAATATACATAATGTAAAATTTATCATTTTAACTATTTTTAAATATACAGTTGCAGTGGCATTAAGTACACTCACACTGTTGTGCAACCATCCTCCCCATCCACCTCCAGAACTTTCTCATCACCCCAATCAGAAACTTTGTATCCATTATGCACTAACTACCCATTCTCCATCCCCACAGGGTGGCTTATTTCACTTCGCATAATGTACTCAAGGTTCATCCATGTCACCGCATATGTCAGAATTTCCTTCCTGCGGAAGGCTGGTACTATTCCACTGCATGCACGGAACACAATTCCTGCATCCATTCATGGGTGAATGGGATGACACTTGGGCTGCTTCTACCTTTTGGCTACTGTAAATAATGGTGTTATAAACGCTGGTGTACAAATATCTGTTCAAGTCCCTGCTTTCAATTCTTTTGGATCTATAGCCAGAGGTGGAATCGCTGAATCATAGGGTAATTCTATGTTGAATTTTGTGACGAACCTCCATAGCGTTTTCCAACAGCAGCTGAACCATTTTACGTTCCCACAAGCAATGCACAAACTTCCAATTTATCCACCTCTAAATAGCTGATTTTTAAGAAGAAAAATTTGAATTAAAATCTTGTAATATGATTTCTGGACTTGTTTCTTTTCATCTCTCTTCTCTTTGTCACTTGCTTTTATCACAAACCATAGAATTTATGATGCAAGACTTAGTTTGATTAGAAACCCTAATTCCAAGAGGTCTGCTGAGGAAGAGAGACAGAGAAAGTTAAAAGTCATAAAAGTTCATTGAGAGTGTATGTTGCTACAATAAAGAACAACTGGGGGGAGGGGAGTACTGTCATATGACATGGGATCAGAGGGCAGCTTCCTCCCTGAAATCTTAACGTCATGCTACATTCCTCAGCGTGCAAAGGCAAATTCAACTCAGAAGCTGAGAAGACAAAAACAAGCTTTGATAATAGTCAACTAAAGGAAAGTACATACAAAATGAAGAAGGAAAAATGAGTTTTGTCCTTCAGATAGAGGCTGAGGAAAATGTAGATAATGTGCACCAACAGTTTCTGTGGCCGCTTCATGGAGAGGTAATCAAACATTTAGGATTATTTTTCCTGACATATTCTTCAGTCTGCTGTATAAACTGAATGATGATAATTTGGTTTACATATCATATGCATTTGTTTAGATGAAATAAAGAAATATTTACAGGATTGGAAATTAAGTAAAACATTCAATGGGCTAGAATTAGAATCATTATTTTAAAATTAGAAATAAAAAACTTCTTTAATTAACATAAAAATATGTTATGCCTGTTATGACACTTCACAAGATACTCATGTAGACACTAAAGCTCTAGTGCTCCTTGATTTGTTTATAAAATTGTTTTTAAAAAGAATATTCCACATATATATTTATCAGTTTCATATGAAAATATACTCTCCATAAAGCATAACAATAGTTCGTATTTTATAAAATACAGTAATATAAATTTGATGAAACACATGGATTTTTTTAATAAAATCCAAATTTCTTAATAAGGACAGATTAAAATAATTTAGTTAAATTTCACCAGAATTAGTTCAAAACAGAATTTCAGAATTACTCTCTGAAAATGAAGGAATATCATATGACCATCTTTCAGAGTTATTTCAAAATTATTCATATAAGATTTTGATTAGTTTAGCTACTACATGCACGTTGAGACTATTTCCAAGTAGGCGATAACGCTGTTTCACTGTTATCTTCTCAGGAAATCCTAAAAAGACAAAGAACAATTTAAAGAAATCATTTGTAATCACAATTTCCAGAGATGAAAGGATGTATCCTTTAGTAAGGGCACAGCGGTCATTTCATAAGTAAATCACTAAGGTCTCCATGAAGTTTTATTAACAAAAGAGAATTTGGAGCCAAAAATATTCTATAACATTATATTGCCTACACAGTGAGATAGTAACACATCACATTATGTGTTATGCTCAGCACACACACATGTACACATATAATATCCACAGAACTCAGAGAAATGCATGTATTAGTGCACTTTTTAAAAAAGCTGTGGCTGCTATTATTTCACAGTTCTTTCTTTGATTTAATAATCCTTTTATGGATATAATTTGCATAGCATAAAAATCACCCATTTAAAGTGTACAATTAAGAGGTTGTTAGTATAGTCACTGAGTTTTTCAAATATCTCCATTATCTAATTCCAGAATATTTTCATTTCTTCAAAAAAAAATTTCGTACCTATTAGCAGTCACTCCCTACTACCTCCCGGCCCCCAACCATTAATCTACTTTCTGTTTCTAGGAGTGTCTACTGGATTATATTTCATATAAATGGAGCCATAAAATATGTTGTCTTTTGTGTCTGGTTTCTTTCACTAAACATGTTTTAAACATTCATTCATGTCATAGCATGTATTAATACTTCATTCCTTGTTGGTGGTGAATAATATTCTATTGTATGGATTTATCACATTTTATTTTTCCATTCATTCGTTCATAGACATTTGGATTGTATCTACTTTTTTGGCTGTTGAGAATAATGCTGTTATGAACATTCATGTATGTTTTTGTATAGATACGTATTTTCAATTCTCTTGGATATATACATAGGGGTGAAACTGCTGGGTCACACACTAACTCTATGTTTAATGTTTGAGGAACCATTAGACTGTTTTTCAAAGCAGCTGCACCATTTCACATTCACACACCCAAAAGTGTATGAGGGTTCCAATATCTCCACATCTTCATCAATACTGTTATTGCTTGTCTTTTCTATTTTAGCCATCCTAATGAGTATGAAGTAATATCACATTGTGATTTGATTTACATTTCCCTAATAACTAACTAACATATTTTTAATGTGCTTATTGGCCATTTATCTATTCCTTTTGGAGAAATGTTGACTCAAATCCTTGCCCATTTTAAAATTGGATTTCTCTTTTTTTAATTGTTGAATGGTAAGAGTCCTTTACCTATTCTGGATACAAGTACCCCACGGGTGTTTTTACACTCTGCTTCCACAAATTGCCTTTCTCATATTGGACTTCCATTTGCTACATTCCTTTCTTAAAACAAAAAGGCCCATGGATCCCTTATATGCTGGAAGAAGGCCTTGCAAATATCAGCATAAAAGACTGTCCACGTACAAGCGTGTGCACTATAATGTTAGTTATAATGGCAGGATTCCACATTCAGCATACTCTAGCATAGCAAGGAAATAAAGGAAAAATAAGTTAGATAAGAAAATGAAAAACAATTAGGAGCATTAAGAATAGCAAAATTTCATATACTCATGAGGACAGGAAGGTAGAATTAGTTACAATAAAGTTGCTTCATTGACACTTGACATTTTATTAACTGCAATAAAATAACAGCAATTACTGTTGCAATTAAACATGATCATAAAGTTTCTATTCTAAAGATAATATCTTAGGTAAGCACATTATTTATCTAAAATTATTTACTTCAAAGTAGCCAGAGGTACAAATGTACCTACAAACAGGCTTTTAGACTATCCCAGAGATGATCTTTTGCAATATTACAATTACCTCAGAAGGAAAGAAAGGTTTGAAAACAAATAAGTAAGATTCGTACAAATTATATCTATGTGTGTGTGCATGTGTGTGTGTGTGCGTGCATCTGTGCATATTTCTTTAAATCTAAATTATTAGGTTGGTGCAAAAGCATTGCAGTTTTTGCCACTGAAAGTAAAGCATCTGTGCATATTTCTTTAAATCTAAACTATTAGGTTGGCACAAAAGTAATTGAAGTTTTTGCCACTGAAAGTGATGGCAAATTACTTTTCTACCAATCTAACAATTTGTGAAAAAAATGACATAATTTTTTAAGTTAAAAGACAACTTTTAAAAAACTTAGATACATTAAAAATAACAATAATAATCCTCAAAAACAAAGAAACATGGGATGAACAAGGTCAAGATATCAGCTTTCACCCGTAAGGACAGGTTAGTGTTTTTCTTCAAAAGCCCGCTACCGCAGAATACACACCACCAGTCACAGAACCAGGACAGAGGGTTTGGAAGGATCAATGCAGATCCATCATTGCCAGTAGACAAACAGCTCAAACAATGCCCATTTTTGGACCCAGGGTCAATAATGTTGGAAACACACATGAGGGACAGTTGTGTCACGGTGCTGCTCAGTGGTGACATCAGGGTAAGCTCAACTCCAAAAACATATCACGTATTTTAGAAGGAGGTTCAGTAATTTCAAAGGCTGTTTTTCTAAGTATTATACATATATATTCAAAGAGCTTTGAAAAATTCTATTTCACCAACTTAAAATTTTAAAAAATGAGAAAAATATTTATGAAATAAAGATTATAAAAGTAAATACATGGCTCATTCTAAAAATGAAAGCTAAAACAAATTTTACATTATGTCTCAGATATTAGATAAGAAT
The DNA here is from genome assembly GCF_000001405.40 of Homo sapiens. Lineage (NCBI taxonomy): Eukaryota > Metazoa > Chordata > Mammalia > Primates > Hominidae > Homo > Homo sapiens. Next base: position 17,151,812 of record NC_000010.11, read on the forward strand.
TTCATAAACATTGACTCATTTAACTATCACAATAACTCTATGAAGCAGGAGTTATGATCATCCTCATTTTACAGAGAAGTAAACTAAAGAAGGGAACGGTTAAGGTGGGGCTGGGATATGAAATCATTCAGTCTGACTCTGGGCTCTGTGCTCCTTACCAAGGTTCAGTATTACCAAAGTGACTACTGCCCTTTGAAAACAAAAAAGCACTGAAGAAAAGCTGAGGAATTCATTTTAATTGAATAGTTAATCTCTTTTCTGTCTTCAAGAGTATGTCTGATTGCTCATCTGAAAAAAGGAAAAAAAAATAGTAGCTAGGAAAGCAGACTAGGAATGAGAATTCTTAAGTCTAATTCTCAGCTCTTCTATTTGTTTTGTAATGCTGTCACTCGTTTTGTGACATAAACTACAAGGAAAGTTTGTGTTTTTCTTAAACAACACTCCCCAGGATATTTGGGACAAAAATGAGATCACCAAGAAAGAGGCAGGGAGTACAAAATAAAACTGGTTGCTGCGACTACACTCAGAGAATCAATTACCAAGAGAGTAGTCAAATTATATTGGCAGTTTGTTCCCTATGTACAAAATGGTTGTGTTCCAAAACCTCAGCTTAAATCCATTATTTAGAATTTGAAACACGATCTATTAAACCCATTATTTATTTGAGGGATAGTGCCATATTAATATTACAAAAGTATTGGACTTAACAAAGTTTGACTTTTCTGCATTCAAACTCTCAAGAGTCCTCAAAAGCACATTTCCTCCTTCTCTAGCCAGGGAAGCATTCGAGGGACGTGAGTCTTCCTCCCAGCCCATCAGCCAGGTACTGGGAGCATGCCCACCCCAGGCCTAAGAAACCCACAGCCTCCTCAGAGCTGAGAGCACTGGCCCCGGTAGTGGGATCAGGGAGATGGGCTGGGGCATCTCTGAGAAGGCCAAAGCAGTGTGTCCAATCTCTTCAGAGCACCAATCCCTGGACTTCTTGGACTGCCAATGGAATTAGGCCTTTGACTTTCTCACTCTACAACTAAATCTTCCCATTTGTTCTTGAGATTCCTTGCTGTAGATCCCCAATCTTTCATTAACTCTGTGTCAATTCATCTCCTGTGTCAATTTCATCTTCTGAGTCCCCCTTTCATTCCATTATGAAAGCTCCTTCCTAGACAGCCTCTCCACCTCCTCTTTCTCCACCTACCCCTTGTAGGGAAGGATAGGGGCACACAGCTGACACAGGTGTATCTCTGAGGAGAATAAATACCAATACACCCCCACCCTTCGAAAATAATCCCTCAACTGCCTTTTAATTTATAAAAAGCCAATCGAAAGCATTCTTTCACAAGCTCTAGTGTGGGGTGATTAGGAGAGGACCTCTGGAAAAGAAAATAAGCTGGAAAGGGGATGCTATGCACAGCCATCTGTGGAAAGAGGCAAGGAGTTGCCAATGTGACCCTTCTAGCCATGCCAACCTCTGTGACCCACTACTGGAGTTAGAGAGGGGGAGAATGAGTCAGTAGAGAACCGAATGAGGCAGTTATGAGGGGAAAGAGGGCAGAAAGATGCCATAAATGGCATGATCAGGAAAGGAAAGAGGTTTCTTGAGCCCATTTGTTTAGGCAAGTCCTAGACACACAAGTCCCTAAAGATTTTTGAGAGTTTTAATACATGAAAGCTGAATTCTGCACGTATCCCACATACCGAACTCTGGAGGAAATCCAAGGAGATTTGCTATTTCTTTAGGAGTGAAATATCGCAGTTTAAGTATTAACAGCTTTGTTATCTGTTCTTCTTGTGACAAATTGGTAAGGGATTTGTAGATATTCTCAACCTGTAAGAAAATACCCAAGATAACTAAAAAAGTAATGTGCAACTAGATTTAAGATCTCCTGCTGTGAGATAGTTGAAACTCGATGGACATACAGTCTGCTGTAACACACAGTGGCAAAGTGCACAGGGCAAAATGGCTCTGTGCAATAGACTACATATTGGCTCAATAAGGGCAATGTAAACTTTGAAAAGAAAAAAAGGTTAACATTCAACAGATCAGGATATTTTTCAGGGTGTCTGTCATTTTTGAGCCCTTAAAATCATAAGAGTATAAACAATAAATGACAATATAAAAGAAATATAGTGAAAAATGCAAAAGAAGCTTGACAAAACAACAAAGTCAATTTTACAATAAAACAGGAGAATCATTAAAACTTTTATTTTTATACTCAGGTTCATCAAGATACTTCCTTAAAATGATTAAATATATTAAGCAAATATAATTTCTCAAATCCAGATATTCAATTGCCTATAACAGAATTTTTACCATGGGTAAATTTTATCAGTAGTTAAAAGTTTGAATCAGTATAAAAGATAATGTGATCTCACTTTAAAAGTATTCAAAAAAATATAAAACTTGCTATATATTAGACTTGTATTCAACCATGACACCATGAAGAGTTAACAACTGAAGTATTCATAAAGCACATTGTTAAGATTATTTTTTTCCTTAAAAGGAAGTTTTATAGTGTGTGCTGCAAAGGAGGGCTCCAATATTAAGATGTTTGTACAACATTTTAGAGAACATTAACTATTGTAGGCTGAGTTTCAACTACTATTTATGGAATAAAAGAAAAGCAGAAGGTAAAAATAAGAAAAAGAAAAACATAAAACATTCCTTGTGCATATACTCATGTAGAGCAACAAGAAAAAGATTTATTCCACAGTAATAAAATATTATATATATGAATATACATATGAATGAATAAAATATATATTCATGGCCAGTTGAATGCATAAAATTATTCTAATGTTCTCAAAGTATTAAACAATTTTAGTTAAAAGTTTTAAAGTGTTTTAGCTTTAAAACATGCATAGTACCTGCACATCCTCTGCAGTCTGTAACACAGACCCTGTCCCTTCTATGTAGCTTCCATATCTGAAAAATCAACACAACAATTATGCAGCACCTGATGTATGTGTTAATGCTAAATTTCTTAAATATTTATTGAATGAATTAATCAATCTACACAGTTACATCCTTCTGAAATATCTTGAATAATGTCACATAAATATCCTTTGTAGGTAAAAAATTACTAGGTAAAAGACATAATATAGTTTCATTTAAACGTCTCATCAATGGGCCGGGCACAGTGGCTAATGTCTATAATCCCAGCACTTTGGGAGGCCCAGGCGGGTGGATCACCTGAGGTCAGAGGAGTTCGAGGTCAGCCTGGCCAACATGGTGAAATCCTGTCTCTACTAAAAATATTTAAAAAATGAGCCAGGCGTGGTGGTGCGTGCCTACCTCAGGAGGCTGAGGTAGGAGAATCTCTTGAACCTGGGAGGCGGAGGTTGCAGTGAGCCAAGATCACGCCACTGCACTCCAGCCTGGGCAACAGAGTGAGACTCCATCTCAAAAAAATGATAATAAATAATAAATGTCTCAGAAATGAAACATGGCACAGTTTTTTGAGTTGAGTAAACACCACTGAATGATGAAATATAAATTGTCATTTCTTTTTATTAATTGTCTTGTCTTGAATGTTCATCACTGGAAAGGATGCACTTTATATTCAAATATAATTCAATATTGGCTCCCTTGCCACATTAACCTAAATGTTGTACAGGTGAAAAGAAATTGCTGCCATTTTTATCAGGCCTGAACCATCATTTCCTCTCAGGAACCCACCGCCCTGCTCTCTAACACCACAGCAAACACAGTGCCACTGATCCTATGTCTGCTTGTCATTTAACACAGTATGATTTTATGATCACTTTCATACAACAATCAGACCATTATATAAAAAACTCCATAGAAAGTATAAAACACTTCAGAAATGCAAGTCATTAGCAGTATTTCTCTCTCTAAGATTATTGCCAAGCTGGCTGTTCAACATATTAGCATTATTTCTTTTTCACAAAGAAAACAGTTTAAAATAAGAATTAGAGGGAAAAAGTCAAACCAGGAAAAAAATAATTTTTTTCAAACTGTCTTTTTCATATATATTACACATATAAATACGTGTGTATATACACACAGTATCTATACCAAAATAAATTTTACCATCAGGCTCCTTTTATGCCATCTTTATAATTAGAAAAGAATTTCAAGGTTGTTTTTTATTACAAAATTGCTAAGTCTTATTTTATGAGAGTCCTAAACAGAACCTATTGAACTTGGTAATTGACAACAGCCCAGTGAAGTCTTTCAAGATAATGGAAAGCAATAAACTCTTTCCCCTGAAGTACAAGGGCAGAGTATAATAAATTCAGAATGACTCTGGTATGGTTCTACTGGGGTACAGTGTATCATACAAGATATTAATAGCTAGCTAGAAGGTAAGAACAGAAAGCCTGAATTGACAAATCATACAACTACCTACCAAATGAGGTTGAGTAGCATTCAGAAAGCACAGACAGAGATCCTTGGCAAAATTTTTCTTTTTTTTTTTTTGAGACAGAGTCTCACTCTGTCGCCCAGGCTGGAGTGCAGGGATATGATCTCGGCTCACTGCAACCTCTGCCCCCCAGATTCAAGCGATTCTCCTGCCTCAGTCTCCCAAGTAGCTGGGAATGCAGGCACCCACCACCATGCCTGGTCAATTTTTGTAGTCTTCGTACAGACAGGGTTTCACCATGTTGGCCAGGCTAGTCTCAAACTCCTGACCTCAGGTGATCTACCTGCCTCAGCCTCCCAAAGTGTTGGGATTACAGGCATGAGCCAGCGTGCCCGGCCAAAATTTTTCTTAAAAAGGTCTAATTTTCCCCTTTCTAGGTTTAAAAAAATTAGTGAGAACTGTATTAAATGTTCAAGTAATAACCCAAAGGAAGCCCTCTAAATGTTCATGAATAGGTAACCAGTAAAGTAAATTATATAATATACCTACACCATGAAAACAGAAAGTCCTTTAAGTACTGATATGCGATAATATTCTATTTATATTGTGCAGTGAAAAAAGGGGCATATATATAATATCCTGCCATTTACTTATAAAGGGGGATAAAATATACATGGATACTTAAATACACTTTCAGATACAATACCTCTGGAAGATTATACAGTAAACTGATATCATTGGTCACATGTGGGGAGAAGAACTGAATGGTCAAGAGACAGAAATGGAAGGGAGTCTTACAATCTTAGTTATCTTTTGAATTGGAAACCTTGGGCATATATTACTTATATAAAAACCTGAATAAAATTTAAATTTAAAAGTTACCCTAGTATTCTCCAGATGACTCAATATTACATCTTTAGTTTAAAATTTAATTTCTTATTATACATTGATCATAAGAGTGAACACTTGAGGTATGATGTGCCACAGAAGTGCTAAAGAATTAGCAAGTAATAGTCTACAGAAACCATGTCTCCACTACGGGTATTTAAGCTCCTATGAAGGTCACCAAACAAATGACATTGTCTTTTATGAGCACTTTTGTGGGTGGTGCACATAATGTTCTGCCAAACGGAATTTTTACTTGTGTTCTACTGGAACATGAAGTAGGCAATTAAGGGAAAATACCTCATTCTAGCAAAAACATTTTATAAAATGCTCCTTGTTTTTAGAAGAACTTAAAGAAACAATAGCTTTAAAAAACCTGGTTATTTTGGATACAGGATCAATAGATCTTTAAAACCTACCCTTTGGTAAAGCACACGGACCTTCTACAAGTGGGCTGAACAATGTCTAACAGAAGAGCATATCGCAGCAATGACTTTGGTGGTAAAAGATACTGGTTCACGTCAGTGTCATCTTCAAGAAAATCTTTTAGCATTTTCACAGAGAGATCACTATCTTGTTGATTTTTCCTGTGAATTTCTTCTGCAGTTTCAAGCTTAAAAAGAATGGCATCTTTTCCAGAACACTGTATGCTGCCATCAAAGCTAATATTTGGTTCAACGTTCTTTTCTTGAATTTTATTTTCTACATCCATTGCATATTTTTGTGGATGTACAGATTCAATTTTGGGGAACTCCATCAGTACCTGGCATTACATAAAAATACACAAATTGTCAAAAGTTGCATTAAAAATAAGAGAAATTAACAATGTCCAGTCAACATTACGAAAACAACCTCATTAGCCTTTATGGGGTTGCCATTAAAAGATAGAAATTGTGGTTTACTTGTATTTGTACAAGTTATTACACGTTATTAATCATATAGCTATATTGTCATCAGGCTGCAGATGATTTATTTCATGGATTAGTGTTTACAGTATTTATTAATAAAAACATTCAATAAACTAACAGAAAGTATATACTGAATATAGATAAATCATATTTGTATCTTATTTGGAAAAGAAGTTTAGAAAGCAACACTAACATTTCCAGAAAACATGTTTTGAATCAAGTTTTGCCATACTCCTTCATTAAAAAGGAAAAACCAAAACATAGCTATGATCTAAAGGAAAACTAGCAATTAAAAAAAGAAAAGCGGTTTTCACTGTGAAAGGTTATTTCTACTCATGAGTCCTATGGGAAAAACTTGTTTCTGCAAAACATACAACCATGTATAAAGTCCTATTTTGTAAAAGGAAAACCATTCCAGGAATTTTTAATGATGAAGTCCTTGAAGTCAATGTATAAAGTTACTGTTAACTTAATACAATGTGTAAGGTATATTAACTTTACATTGGAATTGGCTACTATGGAAAGGGAGCAATATTAGTATCATATTATAAAGGGATTGAGGTGACACTACCAATCCCTTATTAGTAGACATGACTTTTGTGTCCTTACCTATGAAAGTTAGGGAGAGTTTCGCCGAAATGCTGAAACTCAGTTATCCATCCCCGTTTTTTGACCTAAGCATGTAAAACTGCTCACATAATTAGAGATTCTTTCTGTAGCAATTAAGCATTTTATTCTAGCTTGTACTAATCATTACTATATTTTAATCAATTAAGCTAAATAGCATTGGCTTTAAAGAAAATGCAACCCATGTATTAAAATATTTGTAAGCCACTTTTAAGATAAAATATTATCAAAAGTAACCAATGGCTTCTATGGGAAGGATAAAATGATAAATGCAAAATAGTCAACGGTCAAAAGGGAAATTATGGGGGAAGGAGGAAGATAACAATACTAATGATAAGTTTTTTAACTCATTTGTTTTCTAATGAGAAAAAGAAACATTGTTTTGTTTTGTTTTTGTTTTGTTTTAAAACAATAAAAGTGGCAAGATGAAAACAGCCTTGAAGATGGACCTAGGGCATGGTCTATACTTTAGATTCTATAGTACACAGAGACAGCTACACAAAGTAGTTCTTGAAAATAAATTAGCAGACTAATATATATTTATAATAAATAAGCCATAATATTCATAATAAAATTCCAATAATAATACCTGACCAGGGGCTTGAAAGGGTAATGGCTCTGACTGAAGCTTTGCAATAAGAAAATATCGTAGCCTTGAATTTGGAATGCCAAGCTGTAAGCAAAGCAAAGCAGTTAGTTACTCTAAAAAATTAAAGAGAGCGGTACCAACTTTAGCACCAAGTTAAACAGCAACAACAAAAAACTCAAACGAGCCTACATTTAGCTTCTACCACAGCAAAATTTGCTACGGATTTGTAGAAGACTCCATTGTAGTACATTTTAAACTATTAAGTTGCTACTTTGTACTTTTATTTGAATGAGTTAAAGATTGAAACTGACAAATATATCTACAAGTCACTTCCATTTTATATTTCCCAGCTAAGACGTAGTATAGATATTTTTACATTCATTATTGATAATATATTAATAATTTAAAAATTCAAATATAGCTATTCTTGGCTATTTATTACCTCATTTTGTTAAAAAAGGATGATACACTATGTTTTACAAGCTAAAAGGCAATAAATATGAAATAAATTTTAAGAGATCAAATATGTTGCCAATTTCCACAGCTTGTATCTTGAATTTTTGAAATGGGTTTTCTATTAATTTCTGGGCAAAGAACAATATAATATGGCTAAAGATGACAAGAAACTAACAAGAACAATAACAAAAAGCTGACAGCAACACTTGCAAAATTCAAATCTGTCAAATAACTTGTCTTATCATGATCAATTACTTAAATTTCTTATCCATGAAATGGAAGCAGTGTTTTCAACTTAATGTTATGTCCCCAAAGCAGTAACTAGAAAGTTACTACATGTTTATATTGTTTTCTATTTTGGATTATTTTGAAACATTAACATTATTAATTATTAACATTATTAACACCAAGTTTGGAAATACCAAACTTGACGTATTTTCAAAATATGCTATCCTTTGCTCTCTAAAAGAGAAATATAGTCTCTCTTTCAAGCTATATAATTGTTTTTCATAAAATATGTATGAATGAATTTATATGCATGCACTAAATTCTTTGGGAAGGAAGACCCATAATCTAAACTATTTTCAGTTTACCTATAATATTATCCAAAATAAAGCCATTCTGCTTATCGAATCAAATTTCCTTTGGGAAAAAAAGCCTTTAAATTATAATTTATATAAGCATTTATAACTGTGATACCTACAGAGGTTGGAGATAATAGAAACTCTTGGTACTGAAAGCCACAATTTTCTATTGTTTGTATCAAGAGGTCTCTAAAAAGAAAAAAAAAAAACTTTAATTCTTACTTGGAAAGGCAGTTCTTATTTAAATAATGTACACAAAAGCTGGGTTTCTTTTGTTTGTTTTCTTGTTTTTTTGGTTTTTTTTGAGACAGAGTCTCACTCTGTTGCCCAGGCTGGAATGCAATGGCAGAATCTCGGCTCACTGCATCCTCCGCCTCCCAGGTTCAAGCAATTCTCTGCCTCAGTCTCCTGAGTAACTGGGATTACAGGCACCCACCACCACGCCTGGCTAATTTTTTTGTATTTTTAGTAGATACAGGGTTTCACCATCTTGGCCAGGCTGGTCTAGAACTCCTGACCTCATGATCCACCCGCCTCGGCCTCCCAAAGTGCTGGGATTACAGGCGTGAGCCACCGCGCCCGGCCCACAAAACCTCATTTTAAGTGAAAACTGTAACTTCACTTGTTTAGAAAGATAATGACCCTACGTTTTTACTAAGTTCAGCACCTCAGAAATAATATTGAATCAAAAGATATACATAATTCATTACTACAAATAAATAAAGCTGCCAGATAAATTATCCAAACTGATGAAAGTCAGAATTGCTAATCTAGTGATGATCAATCTGCATGGGAACTAGAACTTTATCTTCAAGGTGGCCAGTCAGATGGGAGCACTGTTACAGACAGCAGCTGACTCAAGGACTCGGGTGGATGCTTTCTCTCCAGCTGAGCCACCATCTGAAAGAACCCCGACACAGGAATTCTTCCTGCATCCAACTGTAGGGCAGAAAATACTTGTCAACAGGACCAATTCTTACTGAAAACATTTCTACTTCCACAGAAATAAGCACCAATATAAATGACTAAAACTGAGAAATGCCATTCTTACCAACCACTTACTCTAGAAAAATTAGAAAATATCAAAATAGAAGAGAATCAGTTGAACAAAACTTGGTAATACTTATTGTAATACTTACTAATACATTATTAGTAAAATCAATACTGATGAGTAAGACATTTAATATATAAAATGTCAGAATGTATGCACTGGTTTTTAAGATTTTTATTTCACAACAGTTCCTACTATAAGATATACCAAGTCTAAGATGTATGCAAGACAAATACATTTTTTTACCTTGTAGAAGATACTTCAAAACCTTTAACATTTTCCAAAAGAATATACTTTGGTAATTTTTGTAATCTATAAAAAAATAAACAAATGGAATTCTAAATATCTCATTACTAAGAAGAAAAAGTAAAGAAAATCATTACTTGTGGGAAATACGAGGTAAGTAATTTTCTGAACTCTTTTTAAAATGGAATTTTATAAGGCTGGAGACAACATATATTTTATTCATTTTTCCCTTAAACACAGCACACTTGATAAAGTTAACATTTGAAATGTTGATTTCCATTGAAGTTTATCTCAAGCATGGGTTCACACAGAGCCTCTGTGGTGTCAACTGAAAGGGCGGCTACTCACATAGAAGGGTGGCTTTAAGGGTTTGCACATATTTCCAGGCCATGGGTAACAGCATTCACTAACATTAGCACCATCTGCATCAACACTATGAGCAGAGGCAGCAGAATCTAGCTAGTAGGCTGTGATTCCCTGTCACTCACCGTGGTGGCAAGCATGGAATTGTGAAACATTTGCAGTTACTCTATTAGTCATGGTAGGAGAAGATAAATGACAGGCCCAATATCTCAAGGGAGCATGTATAAATGGCTATCCTCTACAAAATGACAAACGTCACATTCTTCCAGACCTGGAGTTTCAAATGAAAGGTAAGCTTGTACAGGAACCTAAGTTTTTACCTTGGGAGAATATCTAGAATATGTAAGAAGCTATTCGTCCTTGAATCAGTCATATCACCCTGCCGGCCAATCCTAAAGGGGTAAAAAAAAAAAAAAACAAAAAAAAACACAGAAAGTTTATTAAGAATCTGATAAAAAGATGTCAAATCACTTTTTAAGTCAAAAGGAGAATAAAAATAAGTTGGTCCTCACAAAAAATAGGGTCATCTTTGTTGTTACAGAGAAGAAAATACATTTATTCATTTATAAAGAAAAAAGGGGTCCAGGCGCAGAGGCTCACGCTTGTAATTCCAGCACTTTGGGAGGTGAGGCAGGTGGATCACGTGAGGCCAGGAGTTCGGGACCAGCCTGGCCGACATGGCGAAACCCTGTCTCTACTAAAAATACAAAAATTAGGCCGAGCGTGGTGGCTCACATCTATAATCCCAGCACTTCGGAAGGCTGAGGTGGGCAGAACACTTGAGCCCGGGAGTTCCAGACCAGCCTGGCCAACATGGCAAAACTCCATCTCTATTAAAAATGCAAAAATCAGCCGGGCGTGGTGGGGTACGCCTGTAATCCCACCTACTCAGGAGGCAGAGGCACAAGAATCACTTGAACCTGGAAGGCAGAGGTTTAAAAGAAAAAAATCCTTACATATCTAATAAGTACACTTAAAATTTATCTTTATAAAACAATATGACAAATGACTTACATTAATCAAAAAAGAACAAGAAGTCAATGCAGAATAAAACCAACTGCTCTCTTAAAATCACTATGTTTAGGAAAACACACACACATGTGCTGGCTGACTACACTTTTTGCTTTCCCCTTGGTGATGTAACCAGAGTTCAGAGGAACGAACTGCTGAATGGAGTAGCAACCCGAAGCTAATGGCACTGGTGGCCAATCTAAGCCAATCAAAGCAGTAGGTAAAACTAACACAATTTTGTCCAAAGTAAATAGGAGAGACTTAAGCTGAAGTCTAGATTCTATAAGCAGGAGGTGCAACTTGGTTAGAGTAACCAGGGTCAAAACAAGTCATGTAAACAGGCAGTACTTGGGCTAGCAAATAGATCCTACAAGAAAGATTCACAACATGACCAAAGATAAGGCAGAAATGAAGACTTGAATTGAGCCCGAGCAGCAGGAATAGAGGATCAAGCAGAAATGAAGACTTGAATTGAGCCTGAGCAGCAGGAACAGAGGACCAGGGTTCAAAAGCATGTGTATAGAGGGAAATTTATAGCACTAAAAGCCCACAAGAGAAAACAGGAAAGATCTAAAATTTACACCCTAACATCACAATTAAAAGAACTAGAGAAGCAAGAGCAAACACATTCAAAAGCTAGGAGAAGGCAAGAAATAACTAAGATCAGAGTAGAACTGAAGGAAATAGAGACACAAAAAACCCTTCAAAAAATCAATGAATCCAGGAGCTGGTTTTTTGAAAAGATCAACAAAATTGATAGACCGCTAGCAAGACTAATAAAGAAGAGAGAAGAATCAAATAGATGCAATAAAAAATGATAAAGGGGATATCACCACCGACCCCACAGAAATACAAACTACCATCACAGAATACTATAAACACCTCTACACAAATAAACTAGAAAATCTAGAAGAAATGGATAAATTCCTCGACACATACACCCTCCCAAGACTAAACCAGGAAGAAGTTGAATCTCTGAATAGACCAACAACAGGCTTTGAAATTGAGGCAATAATTAATAGCTTACCAACCAAAAAAAAGTCCAGGACCAGACAGATTCACAGCCAAATTCTACCAGAGGTACAAAGAGAAGCTGGTACCATTCCTTCTGAAACTATTCCAATCAATAGAAAAAGAGGGAATCCTCCCTAACTCATTTTATAAGGCCAGCATCATCCTGATACCAAAGCCTGGCAGAGACACAACAAAAAAAGAGAATTTTAGACCAATATCCCTGATGAACATCGATGCAAAAATCCACAATAAAATACTGGCAAACCGAATCCAGCAGCACATCAAAAAGCTTATCCACCATGATCAAGTGGGCTTCATCCCTGGGATGCAAGGCTGGTTCAACACAAGCAAATCAATAAATGTAATCCAGCATATAAACAGAACCAACGACAAAAACCACATGATTATCTCAATAAATGCAGAAAAGACCTTTGACAAAACTCAACAACCCTTCATGCTAAAAACTCTCAATAAATTAGGTATTGATGGGACATATCTCAAAATAATAAGAGCTATCTATGACAAACCCACAGCCAATATCATACCGAATGGGCAAAAACTGGAAGCATTCCCTTTGAAAACTGGCACAAGACAGGGATGCCCTCTCTCATCACTTCTATTCAACATAGTGTTGGAAGTTCTGGCCAGGGCAATCAGGCAGGAGAAAGAAATAAAGGGCATTCAGTTAGGAAAAGAGGAAGTCAAATTGTCCCTGTTTGCAGATGACATGATTGTATATCTAGAAAAACCCATCATCTCGGCCCAAAATCTCCTTAAGCTGACAAGCAACTTCAGCAAAGTCTCAGGATACAAAATCAATGTGCAAAAATCACAAGCATTCTTATACACCAATAAAAGACAAACAGAGAGCCAAATCATGAGTGAACTCCCATTCACAATTGCTTCAAAGAGAATAAAATACCTAGGAATCCAACTTACAAGGGATGTGAAGGACCTCTTCAAGAAGATCTACCAATCACTGCTCAATGACATAAAAGAGGATACAAACAAATGGAAGAACATTCCATGCTCAGGGATAGGAAGAATCAATATTGTGAAAATGGCCACATTGCCCAAGGTAATTTATAGATTCAATGCCATCCCCATCAAGCTACCAATGATTTTCTTCACAGAATTGGAAAAAACCAATTTAAAGTTCATATGGAACCAAAAAAGAGCCCACATTGCCAAGTCAATCCTAAGCCAAAAGAACGAAGCTGGAGGCATCACGCTACCTGACTTGAAACTATACTACAAGGCTACAGTAACCAAAACAGCATGGTACTGGTACCAAAACAGAGATATAGATCAATGGAACAGAACAGAGCCCTCAGAAATAATGCCACTTATCTACAACTATCTGATCTTTGACAAACCTGACAAAAACAAGAAATGGGGAAAGGATTCCCTATTTAATAAATGGTGCTGGCAAAACTGGCTAGCCATATGTAGAAAGCTGAAACTGGATCCCTTCCTTACACCTTATACTAAAATTAATTCAAGATGGATTAAAGACTTAAATGTTAGACCTAAAACCATAAAACCCTAGAAGAAAACCTAGGCAATACCATTCAGGACATAGGCATGGGCAAGGACTTTATGTCTAAAACACCAAAAGCAATGGCAACAAAAGCCAAAATTGACAAATGGGATCTAATTAAACTAAAGAGCTTCTGCACAGCAAAAGAAACTACCATCAGAATGAACAGGCAACCTACAGAATGGGAGAAAATTTTTGCAATCTACTCATCTGACAAAGGGCTAATATCCAGAATCTACAATGAACTCAAAACAAATTTACAAGAAAAAAACAAAAAACCCCATCAAAAAGTGAGCAAAGGATATGAACAGACACTTCTCAAAAGAAGACATTTATGCAGCCAAAAGACACATGAAAAAATGCTCATCATCACTGGCCATCAGAGAAATGCAAATCAAAACTACAATGAGATACCATCTCACACCAGTTAGAATGGCAATCATTAAAAACTCAGGAAACAACAGGTGCTGGAGAGGATGTGGAGAAATAGGAACACTTTTACACTGTTGGTGGGACTGTAAACTAGTTCAACCATTGTGGAAGTCAGTGTGGGGATTCCTCAGGGATCTAGAACTAGAAATACCATTTGACCCTGCCATCCCATTACTGGGTATATACCCAAAGGATTATAAATCGTGCTGCTATAAAGACACATGCACACGTATGTTTATTGTGGCACTATTCACAATAGCAAAGACTTGGAACCAACCCAAGTGTCCAACAATGATAGACTAGATTAAGAAAATGTGGCACATATACACCATGGAATACTATGCAGCCATAAAAAGGATGAGTTCATGTCCTTTGTAGGGACATGGATGAAGCTGGAAACCATCATTCTCAGCAAACTATCACAAGGACAAAAAACCAAACACCGCAAGTTCTCACTCATAGGTGGGAATTGAACAATCAGAACACATGGACACAGGACGGGGAACATCACACACCGGGGCCTGTTGTGGGGTGGGGGGAGGGAGGAGGGATAGCATTAGGAGATATACCTAATGTAAATGATGAGTTAATGGGTGCAGCACACCAACATGGCACACGTATACATATGTAACAAACATGCACGTTGTGCACATGTACCCTAAAACTTAAAGTATAATAATAAAAAAAAAGCATGCTATTTATCTTCAGAGTCTTAAATAAGTTAGCTGGCATCATTGGTCAGTTTCCTCATACCTGATGGCAGGACCAAAACCATCAGTGGATCTGAGGTTCAGCTGTGGGATTAGACTGGATGTGAACAGACTTCTCAGAAATCTTCAGTTCTTATTTGTCCTTTCCTGTCAGACTTTCACATGAGGACTACAGAATCAGTTACTCCTGCCATCAGCAGCTGGAGCTGTGCTAAGACAAGGGGGAGGTGGGAGTAGGAAAGCTACGGGGCCCTCTGCAGTATTACCTGAGGCTTCACAGAGCTGGAGCTGCATTCCGCTGTGTATATCCTGCTCACTGTACTCCACAGGCCACACTCTTGCACGTGCCTAGAGCCACCCTGAGATGGAATGGCCTCTGCCTGCTCTGATATACTCCTAATCTACCTCCAGACACAGTTCAGACATCACCTCTGAAAGAATTCCCTTCTCTTGGTATGCAGCAAGCCCTTTTCTCCTCTGTACTCCTGTGACACTTTCAGCATTCTTTTATTATATAGCTTATAAGATAATTTAAGATAACATTATAAGATAATTATTTGTCAGCCATTCCCATTAGACTATGAGCTCCCAAAGGACAGGAACTACAGCATCAAAAATAATGCCTGGCTTGTAGGTGAACCACAAATCCTTGGGAAATTCATTTCCTAGAGAATTGTTTAAATAAATCCAAATGTAGATGGAAATTTGGCATTAGAATATTCATTCACTGAATTAGACTGGTTATTACATATGATATTCTACTTAAAATCATGGAATATATAAAATGATTAACAAATCTTGGCTCTGACATTCTTTAATTGTATATCCTTGAGAAAGTTAACCTTTCTATGCCCCAGTTTCTCATCTGTAAAATCATTGTAACAGCAATGGCTACCCCATAAGCTTGTTAAATTAAATGACATCCTCTGCATAAGACACAGACACTTAGAGGATTACTACTGCTATTTTCATTTAAAATAATCCAAAATACTCTTATTAAAAATATCTAAATGAAAATCAATTAGTCAAGATTTGGTCGAAGATATAATTTCCTGAAACATATAGCCAAATATATATATACACACATATATATAATTTTTTAAATGAAGAGTTTATAACGTTGCTATGAAAAGTCAGAATTATTCAATGTACATATGAATTTTAAGAAATGTAAAGTTCACAAGTGCATGCTTAACTAGCTTTTAAATTGTACAATTAAGCAATTTAGGACTTGAATATTTATTGTGGAAATTCACTTTGCTTAATCAGTATTAGAAAGATATTCTTGAATGCTCATTAGTTTAAATGAATTAAGGTACTTTGGGCTGGAAATAAACATTGTGTCTTAGGTAAGTATAAAAGAGGTATCCTACAGTCTTGCATATCTACTTTTGACCAAATTAATTTGCTCATCTGGTAGCAACTGCTATTTCCTTTGTGATTAATGCTTAATTATAAATATGAATGGAGGCTGGGCATGGTGGCTCCGTGTATAATCCCAGCACTTTGGGAGGTCGAGGTGGGAGGATAGCTTGAGCCCAGGGCTTTTAGGCCAGCCGTGGCAACATAGTGAGACGCCATCTCTACCAAAAATTTAAAAATTAGCTGGGCATGGAAGTACATACCTTTAGTCCCAGCTACTCAGGAGGCTGAGGCAGGAGGATTGCTTGAACCTGGGAGATTGAGGCTGCAGGGAGCTGTGATCATGCCACTGCACTGCAGCCTGGGTGACAGAGCAAGACCCTGTCCCAATAATTATTATTATTTAAAAATAAATAAATACATACATAAGTAGATAGAAGGATTTATGAAAAAATTTCCGAACTATGAAATGCAGCTAATAAACTTCAGAGTGTCCATGTTTGACACTACAGTATGATCTGATTTAGTAAGTCCTTCAAAAGCACTTTCTCTACACTTGATATGGTTTGGCTGTGTCCCCATCCAAATCTCATCTTGAATTTCCACGTGTTGTGGGACGGACCCGGTGGGAGGTAACGGAATCATGGGGGCAGGTCTCTGCTGTGCTGTTCTTGTGACAGTGAATAAGTCTCATGAGATCAGATGGTTCTATAAAGGGCAGTTTCCCTGCACAACATCTCTCTCTTTACCTGCTGCCCGTGACTTGTTCCTCCTTGCCTTCCGCCATGATTGTGAGGTTTCCCTAGCCACATGGAACTGTAAGTCTAGTAAACCTCTTTCTTTTGTAAATTGCCCAGTCTCAGGTATGTCTTTATCAGCAGCATGAAAATGGACCAATACAACACTGAAATATTTATGACACATACCTTGTGAATGGCTGGCAGGGAGGGCTCATTAAAATCATATCAAAAGATAATCTGTCAAACTCTTCGAGTGTAATGCCCTGAGGAATGAACATTTAGGGGGAAAAAAGAACATAAAAACATGGATAGAATGGGGAAGAGGGAAAATACTAACTATAATTAAATATATCAGAAACTGAAACAGTTTATAATACAATGCTTGTCAAATCAACTTTGGTTAACTAACTTCTCAAAGCAATACTGTGAAGGAAGTGGGGCAGTAAACTGAAGCTACAAGAAATTAAGTGACTTCCCCCAAGGTCCCAGCACCAGCCCAGAGCTGGAACAGTTGTTTCCTGGATCCTAAGCACATCTGGCCTGTATCACACCTCAAGTGTAACACTGCTGTTTTCTAGAGTAAAACGTGGAGAACCTTATTTTATAATTGATAACGTTCATGGAGATGGGGTCTAGGAAATTTTTAAATACCTACCTGTCAATAATGTTCTTTATTTAGCAAATGTGATATGCAGACCAGTCACCATCCCTTTCATATACATCTGTTAATATATTATCAAATGGAAAAGGGCCTCATTCTCAGATATCCACAATTATTTTGTTTTGCAGTTGTGTGCAATGAACTTCAAATGACTGTTGACAAGATGCATCAAAAGAATTCCTAATGGGCTAAGTAGCTGAAAACTGTGCTGTGTTGCTCCTTTTCTATATCTCAGAAGACAAACACAGGGAAGCACACGTCAGGGGTTTGCCAACTCACATTAAGCACTCTCAGTGCACATCTTTAGCTAGAAACTTAAAGAAATGAGCCCAGAATCAAAACCTTCCTAATTATAGCCCACTTCTAAGAAGTTCAAGCACATGAATAAAGCAGGAAAAGCTTTACTCTGAATTCTGTAAAGAGTGAGTTAACGTGGGAACATGTCAGTTGTCTCCATTGTATTAACAGTTTGAATGTGCTTGTCTATCAGTTTTTGATCATAGGATTTTAAATAATTAAAGATACATCTGTGAAAATGAAATCAAAATCAGATATTGAAAATTTCCTAAAGCACTTCTCGACTCCCCAGTGTTAAGGAAAGCAATCTGAAAATCCTACACTGAGCAGTCTGCCAGAACACACGGGGCAGGGTATTAGCACATCACATTCAAGTTCAACAGCCTGTACATACAGGGCCATTATGATAAGCAACTGGACGTGGAATGATAACAGCTAAATTCCTACAACTAAAGTAAAAAACAACAATCTCTCATAGCAATTATTCCAGGGGCATCCTATGTCTAGAATCGAAAGGAAGTAAACAGAGTCAATGTCTCTAATACAGCTAGCCACTAAAAAAATTACAGCTTTAACAGATTCTTGAAAATAGTGATTTTTTTAATAGTGTAGGCCAACTGATAAGGCAGTTAGGCAAAAATTCATCACTAAATTGAACCCTTCACAACTTATTTAACCTGGTATTCTAGGTCAATGAAAGTGTATTTGGATTAAATAAAGTAGTCATGGAAATACACAGGTTATTTTTAATGACTAAATATTTTAAAGCCAAAGGAAATTGATTTTTTACCTTATATGACTATACAAGTTAAGGAAAATACTTTTGCTTTCAGATAATATTAGATCAAGTCAGTGGGCTAACACTGTTCATCCTGTATTGACTGGCAGGTGTATTTGTCCCTCTGCCTGCCTTATTGCCTATTTTCTCAGAAAGTTTTCTGGCTATTCTTAAACTGAATTTTCATTTGAACTTTAGGAAGAACTTGGTAGATTAGAAAACAACAACTTTTGACTATTTTATTGAAGTTATAGTGAAACAGAGCCAATATTTTTACAATATTCAGCCATCCTATCCAAGACCACAGTACGCTTTCATCATTTTTCAAATCTCTTTAACTCCCATGTGAGTTATATAGATTTCTTGTTATACAGATTCTTGTGTTGTTACTAAAAATAGGAACTTTCTCCTATTATGTCTTCTAGTAGACATATTGTATATTGTATGCTGTAGGTTATCATATTTTTGTAGCCAGCGTCCTTATTAAAGCACTAATTGTTCCTCATATATTATTTTTGCTTAACTTGTTGGTATTTTCCGGCATACTCAATCACATTTTTAAATATTTCTATTTATATGATATTTCTCTGTGTAAGTACATTAGCTAACAGATCCACAACTATATCAAGTCATAGTGCTAATGGTGGACATCCTTGTCTTTTTATTATTTTAATGAGAATACTTTTAAAGTTTCACCATTTGGTATGTTACTGGATTTAGATGTGTGTGTGTGTGTGTGTGTGTGTGTGTGTAGTCAAGATCTCAGGCAACCAGGCCAGCAGTCAGGCTCTTGGAACATTTGCATTCTTAGTCCCAGAGCCTTCATTCCGAGGTGTCCTTATCTGAGGCCTTGAGCAGAACTTCTCTGCCAAGGCCTCCTTGTGTGGGGAGGTGTGGGAAACCCTGAAGACACTGATGACACCTGAAGAGTGTGCCATTCTGACTCAGTCCCCAGCACTTTTCCACTGCTAGCCCTCCCTGCTTTCCCTTCCCTTAAGGCCAAGGATTCCCTCAACAGTGAGAGGGCCCTCACGTATACACTGATCCATGGGTAAATGGAACCGAGAGAGTGGCATTGTCTCTGCTTTTAGATTCTTGCCAGTAACACCACTGTAAGTGAGTGAAGGCTTAACTCTTTTGTTTTTGGCTTGTGGCCTTAATCAGCTACTTTAACGCTCTTGACAGCTGAGCTTTCTCTTTCCCAGCTCTGCTGAGACCCTGACAACAACACTGAATAATGTCCTAAAAAATTGATAGTTTCATTTATCTGCAAAGACATATTTTTTGTGTCTCACTGCCTCTTCCCACTCCGATTACATTATTATTTCTACACTGCAAAGCTTTACAACATTTTCAGCTATTTTCTAACCATAGTTTTCCTCCTAACACGGCAGCTTCATTCCTGGGTTTTCTACTTTGATTCATCTCTTGCTCAGCTAGATTAAGTGATGCAGTCATCTGTTCCAGAAGGGCTCATGGATGTTATATTGTAAATTTCATTCTAGAAAAATTTTTATCTATTTTTATTAAGAGTTTTTGTTCCACTGGAGTCATTCTCCTCTTCAGAGGCATTAATGATATTTATCACGGATCACTCTGTCTTCGGTAGCTATCATTTACTCTACAGTATGTAACTGGAGAAAGTGAAGAAAGAGAACAGAGATTATTTTTGAAGCAATAATGGTCAAACCCCCCAAATTTGATGAAAATTATAAATAAGAAAAGCACCACAAGGTCCAAGCACTACAAATAAAGAAAAACATACAGAGCACATCAAAATAAAACTTTTCAAAACACGTGATAAAGATAAAATCTTAAATGTAGACAAAGAAAGACACAATATATTAAGAGGAATGAAAGCAGAAATTATTACAGACCTTAAGTCAGAAATTAAGAAACCCAGATAACACTGGAAAGTATTAAAAGAAAACAAACAGATTTTTACAAAAATATCTTTCAAAATGAATGCAATCAAAGATTCAGTGGGCCAGGCACAGTGGCTCATGCCTGTAATCCCAGCACTTTGAGAGGCTGATATGGGAGGACCAGTTGAGCCCAAGAGTTTGAGACCAGCCTGGGCAACATAGTGAGACCCTGCCTCTCCAAAAAAGAAAAAAAAATGAGTAAAAATTATATTTCACAGTGAAGACAAAATAAAACACTTTTTTACTCAAAAGCACCAAGGTAATTTGTCCCTTTCCACATATAACCAACAAGAGACACTAAAGAAGGTTTTTCAGGAAGAAGAAAAATTATATCACATGCAAACTTTGATCTAAAACACAAGGATAAAAAGTGCTGAAAATTGTAGGTATATAGATAAATATAAAAGACTTTGTGCTTTTTAAAAGTTCTTTAATAGATATTTGACTATTTAATCCAAAAAACAGTAACAATGTATGTTGGTGCCTATAACATTCGTAGCAGTAAAGTGCAAGACAAAATATCAAAATAGACCAGTAGGGGAAATTGGAGGAATACTGTTAAAATTTAAACATAAAGTGGTATAATGTTATTTGAAGGCGGGCTTCCACAAGTAAAAGATGCATCTTGTAAACCCTAGAGAATCCAACAGGAAAATAAAACAAAGATAGATATAGATATTTAGATATTTAAAAATAAATTTCAGTTTACATTGAATAAATATTATGACTAATTGTCTTTAAAAAGACATTAGTGAAGAATAATGAATTTTTTAAAAATCCAAATAAAAATAGTGACAATGTAAAATGGTAAAAACACTTCAAAAACTTTGAAAATTTGGTATTTTCTCATAAAGTTTAATAAATGTAGGTATTTATCCACAATAAATGAAAACTAAGATCCACACAGATTTGTACATATATGTTCATTGCAACTTTACTTGTAATGGTAAAAAACTAGAAACTACTTAAATGTCTATAATAATGTGAATACATACACATATTGTAGTATATGATATTCTACTGTACAAAATATCACTCAACAATAAAAAAGAGCAAATTATTGATATACAACAAAACATGATGAATTCCAAAACCATCAACACTAAACAAAAGCAGTTCCACTCAAAAGAACTACACTCTTATGATTTTATTTGTGATATACTAGGAAGGGAAAACTTAATCCATAATGAAAAGAAAGCAGATCCATTGTCGCCTGGGTTGGGGTTGGAGACTGACAGAAATGTGGCACTAAGAACAATTTAGCATGATGGAAGTGTTCTAAGTCTTGATTGTGGTGGTAGTAGTTACACAGTTGATGATTGAGTCGAAACTCAAACTGCCCACTTAAAATTACGTACAATAAACTACATATTTATTGCATGTAAATTATGAGAAATTTCATGAGAAATTTGTTTGTAAAATTTTTCATGATAAATTAGGAGAAACAACACAATTTCTTTTTTTTTTTTTTTTTTTTGAGACAAAGTCGACCAGGCTGGAGTGCAGTGGCGCGATCTCAGCTCACTGCAACCTCCGCCTCCTGGGTTCAAGCGATTCTCCTGCCTCAGCCTCCCAAGTAGCTGGGACTACAGGCATGTGCCAACACACCTGGCTAATTTTTGTATTTTTAGTAGAGACCAGGTTTTGCTATGTCAGCCAGGCTGGTCTCGAACTCATAACTTCGTGATCCACCTGTCTCGGCCTCCCAAAGTGCTGGCATTACAGGCGTCAGCCACCGCGCCCAGCCAATTTCACATTATTTAAAAAATAACTCAACATAAATCAGTGTTTCAATACTTGTGCTGAAGTCACCACAGGTGAAAAAGGTTAACCTTGACAGGTTTGCTAAAATAAGAAGCATTCAGTAAAAGCCAATGATTTTCTCCCTTGTTCTTACTGCATGCTATATATATTGCATAAGTATTTAATAAAAGTAAATACTTTTTCGAAGTTCAATATCACCACAGAACCAAGCATTTAGAAGTCAAGCATATCCTTACATTTCAATTATTTCTCTGAAAGACCAAAATATTGATCTCCCTGTCTATAGCTGGACTTTTTTTTAAAAGCATGCTATCTTCTGATAGGATATAAAATGTTAATCTCCTTCTCCTGAACTCTTAAATTTATATATGCTTTATCTTCCAATTAAGACAACGGAAACCAGTATTAGGCAGTGTTTTTCAATCACATTTCCCTTGCTACATACTTATTAAAACAATGACAATTACTCACTTCAATCGTCTTGGCAAGTAACTGTGTGTGAGGAAAATTATACTTGTATACTTCATTAGCGACAGTGTTGACATCAATGGCAGCCACCACTTGTGCAGGTATACAGCTTTCTGTAATGATAAATGGAGTATCTTGAAAAGAAAAGTCCTTAAGTTCATTATAGAAAGAAATCAAAATAGCAGAATTTAGTAATCCATTTCCTTATTTCTTCATTTATTAGCCTCATCTCAGACTGTCAGTGGAAGGTCAGGCCAGGGGAAGCCAGGCATGAAGTGAAATATTTGAACATGGACTTCTGGTTCATCTCTCTAAACAGCATTCCAATACTAAAGAGAAGATTTAAATATTTTAGTGCTTACCTCTTATATTTGCTTTCCTCCCTCATTAAGAGACACACTTATAAGTCAAATAGAAAGTTTTCCTAAGTTAAAACAAACTAAAAATTGAAAAGTGAGATATATTCTAAAAGCCCTATGATTTAGAACTTTATATAAATAAACTACCATTTGTTCTGCACCTTCTCACATTAATACAATGTTGCTTCACAGTACCATTGAAAATGCTTTAATTGTTTTTTTAGTAACAGCTTTATTGAGATGTAATTCACATTTGACAAAATTCACCCAATTAGAGCTTACATAAGTTTTTAAATGAGATGAACAATTAATTGGTATCCAAATGTAAATGGTTCATTTACCAACATTTTAAATGTTGACAGACCAGAAGAGAATATAAGAAGAATAAGGGAAATAATTATAAAGGAATGCCTTCACTGCCCTTCTGTCTTGCTGGTGAAGAAAACCATTTTCAAAATGTTTTCAGATCCAGAGAATTCTAGCATATTCTTTAATGTTAGCCGAAATTGGAACTCCACAATTGTAGCCGTAGCTATATTTTACAATGACCACCCTCTTTCCCCAAATATGTATAAAACCAATTATGTGCATGCCCTGACCCAAGTCAGGAGAAAGTGTGAAGTTTTAAAAATGAAAGTATTTGAGACTTCAGAAAATCATCAGAGAAAGCAATACAATATTACATAGTAGATCCAAGTAGCCGATTCTTTAATACCATTAGTTGATTAATAGTTAGCTGATTAGCTTACCCCAAATATCAAAAAAGGAAAAAAAAAAAAAAAGAGTGGTGTGAGGAACTAGGACTCATGCAGCAGGCACCCGGAAATAAAAGCAGACCACAGGAGACAGGGCAAGGAGAAAGGCTCACACACGCTCAGAAAACAATCATAACCTTCCACTGAGGCCTAGAAGAGATGAGGCCAGGAAGAAAAGAAAGGCACAAATGTCTCCAAGGATTGATACTAAATGGCTGCTAGGCTCAAGACACTCAGCAGGTATCCTGCTGAAAAGTAAGATCCCCTGCGTGCTGCAAACTTGGTGGTCTAATCAGTAATGCCATAGACAGCTGCCTCTTCTGCATTGAAGTGCAATAACTAGTTACTGGCCTTAGTATAAAATAAATTTGAGGTTATAAATTGTATCTGTTAAAGCCATCAGATCTTGAAACATAAATCAAGAAGGCTTCTAAACAAAAGAAAATATTAATATATAAGGATCCATTTGCAAACACAAAACTATCATAATTCAAGTCAAGAATTAAGCTACTACTAATCACTGTAAGAGAGCTGAAAATTAAATAAACTTCATTGTACTATTTTACTGTTTTGTTAAATATGTTGTAATCAGCATGATGTAGCCTGCTTGTATTTCCACCATATATGAAGCAAACTGGGATTGCCTGACATTGGTTAATAGGACTTGTATCTTTTTTCAGGCAGAGTGAAAATGTACAGTGATGTGCTGAATCTGCACTGTAATCAATAATTAATTTTATGTTCTTGTGTTATATGCCTGGAGGTCATAAAAACTGACAAAAATCAACTGCCAAATGAGTATTTCATATGGTGATCCAAAAACTGATGAACTGAAATTTCTTTCTCAGGAAAGAACAGATTTTCAAAGCCAATAAGCAAATGCACTGTTTGCATGGATTGATGCACATATTTTAGACTGTTATAAAATTAGGACCTACTGCATAACTTAAAAAGTTATTTCTATTAAGAGAAATGGATGTACTAAGATATTACTGACACTAATTCAACTTGCCTTCTCAAAATAGAATTGGGGGGTGGTTATTGTTTCTAAGGAAAAGGTTAAACTTACAGATAAGTTTTAAAAAGCAAACCTGTCAATTCTGTCAAAATCTTAACTTGAATTCCAAAGACTAGTTGCCTTGATATTTCTTAGTATACAGTTTAAATCTACAATCTCCAAAATTCTTTACTTTTAAGTTACATATATAGATTTTGAAAATGTATAATTAAAAATGTCAAAGTGAATATAATTCTATAGAATTTTGCCTATGTGAGCTCCATCACTTGAGTGATCCAAGAGTAGTAATTCTCAAAAAGGAGGCAGAATTTGGGAAAGGGATTCGTGAGTATCTTTTCATTGAAACAGAGGAAGAGGATGTGTTTTCAGTACTTTGATGTATTACTTTGCCTAGACTTTATTCATGATATTTCAGTTATTATTCAGGATTTCATATTTATTAACAGGAAGCCTGGTTTAAAAAAAAAAGGTGAGATATCCTACTTAGAGAAACACATTTATTTTATTTATTTATTTATTTATTTATTTATTTTTTGAGATAGTGTCTCACTCTGTTGCCCAGGCTGGAGTTCAGTGGCATGATCTCGGCTCACTGCAACCTCCACCTCTCAGGTTCAAGCAATTTGATTCTCCTGCCTCAGTCTCCAGAGTAACAGAAACTACAGACACTTGCCACCACACCCAGCTAATTTCTATATTTTTAGTAGGGACAGGGTTTCACCATATTGGCCAGGCTGGTCTCAAACTCCTAACCTCAAGTGATCTGCCTGCCTCAGCCTTCCAAAGTGCTGGGATTACAGGTGTGGGCCACCACGCTTGGCTGAAAAACACAGTACAAATTATTTTAAAAGGTTGTCAGATTGGCTCCGAAAGGAATACATAAGGACATCACGCTTCCATTTATATGAGGACTAAATTTAAAAGGTAGATTTAGTTATTTCAAGAGAGACTTCTAGGTAAGATGTTAGAAATGTCACTGAGGATACATACATAATTCTTGCTTTCAATATGCTTCTTACAAAAATAGACAAGAAACACACACACACACACACACACACACACACACAGACATTTGAATAGCAATACTTTCCTTTCTTTTTCTGATGATTCTTCTTTCTGGAAACGCTGTAGGGAAGAACTTTTTGTTGGTAGTAGTGAAAAGCTTTACAAGTTCACACTCTTCTTGACTTTCCTAACCAAATAAATAAAAAAATTTAACTGTTCTTGTGTAGTTATTAATGTGGGAAAAAAATCAATATTTACAAGATGTAAATGCAAATGTAAAAAATGTAAATGTAAAGACGTTATGTTAGATAATATAATGCAGTTTGAAGTTTTGAGGAGGACCTTGAGAAAGAAAATTAAGGCATAACCAGTCCACTTTGAAATAAGGAAAGAAATTTTTAAAATTCTATTCCTTCTTTATTATTTATTTTCTAATCTATATCTCATATAGGTGAGTAACTACTGAATTACTCATTATACTCACACCTGAGACATTTAATCAAGTATGTTAACACTGACATCTAGTTGTAAGATGAAAGATCAGTTGAATACATCCAATGTCCTTTCATTCAAAGTGCTGGCTTAGTTAGGAATAAAAGTACTAAAGAACGTACAGACCCATAAGGATCTGAACTTAAAATTGCTGCCAAATGTTTTATCACTATTAGTAAAGTATATTGTTTGGTTCTTTTTAAAAGTTCTTGTATTTTGCTGGGTGAGGTGGCTCACACCTGTAATTCCAGCACTTTGGGAAGCCAAGGAGGGCACACCATTTGAGGTTCGGAGTTTGAGACCAGCCTGGCCAAAATAGTGAAACCTCATCTCTACTAAAAATACAAAAATTAGCCAGGCATGGTGGCACACGCCTGTAATCCCAGCTACTCAGGAGGCTGAAGCAGGAGAATCGCTTCAACCCTGGAGGCAGCGGGTACAGTGAGCTGAGATTGCACCATTGCACTCCAGCCTAGATGACAGAATGAGACTCTGTCTCGGAAAAAAAAAAAAAAAAAAAGTTCTTGCATTTTAAAAATTGCTGATAAATTATTTCCAAGAATAAAATAAAAAATACATTAAAAATATTTTTCAAAGATCCAGTTTCCTTAGAAAGTTTCCATAGTCAGCTAACTGTCCAAACAAAATTTACTTTGTGTCAAGACATACCTTAGATTATTATTGTTACTAACACCAGACTAAATATAAGAGACCACCAGCCAAAATACGGATAGGAACTGCTGGAGATCTATGAAATTATCACGTCCTTGACACTATATCTTAGGAGAATTTATTTTTCAACAAAATACCAAAAGACATACCAGAGCCAGAGAAGTGGTGGAAGAGAGAAATATGGCAAATTAATGTAAAAAAAAAGGAGCACAGTGAAGGAATCTACAAGGAATGGAAAATAAAGATGTTATGTCAGGTAGTATAATGCAATTTGGAGTTTTGAGGAGGACCTTGAGAAAGAAAATTAAGGCATGAGTAATCTTTCCGGAACGTCTCTAGAAAGTCTATTTAAAGTCATGTTGATGTCATGAGGTAGCTAATACAGCTTCTCCAGCCCCTCAACCCACAACCTCGCACCAGCCCTGAAGCTTTCCTTGGCAGAAGAGAAGAGAAAAAGCAATTTAGCTATTCACTTTCAGCAGGGGCTACAGAAAGGCCACATAGCCCAGCATTACCCTTAGTCCTGAGGATGCAGGGACCTCAATTTCCAAGGGCATAAACTGGTCTCTAAAAAGAATATAGGTAACGAACGCCTAGGATACAGTAAATGCTCAATAATTATTAAAATTCATATTCACTGCCTGGCATTTATCTGGAATATTATAGATTAAATAGATAAAATAATAATGATAATGATTATTTTAACTAAAATTTAAAAATCAAAATTAAAACAATCATTATCATTATAATTAAGGTTAGAAAATTAGACCAGTGACAAAAGCTTAAGACTCATACTGTTCATCTGGGAGATGAATTGCAGGAGAAATATTTTTGAAAGAGTTTCAAGTAATGTAAGAAGAGATCTTCACAAATGACAAAAACTAGCTGATTCCAATCTCTACTAATAAAAAAAAAAAAAAAAAGGAAAAACAGAAACGGGCTAAAATTTAATCCCAAGAGACTAGCATTGATGGGAAAAGCTTTCCTGACCTTGCTATCAAACCCTAGAATGAAAGAGAGAAATCGGAGGTATTGGGGAAAGGATTTTTTTAACACAGGGCAGAAAAATTTTCTTCCCAGGATATTTATTACTTGTTTTCTCCAATTTGGAGGAGGATAGTCCCACTAAGCAATCCCTAAAGACACTTTCTAGCCCTGATACTCTATGAGCATTTAAGTAAGAAGTATAGGTCTTCAGATCATCTTTTACTACCTGCCATTATTGACAAAGATCTTGGCCTTTTCACCCTAATTCACTGGTTAGAAACTAAAGAACTGATACAAGAGAAATGCTCTTTTATGGCTATGTTTGTCTATTAATTTGCCTTTCCTAGATACTACGTTTAAAATAACTATTAAAGAATAAAAATAGTAAGTGAACTACGACAAACAATATAAATTTTCTCTTTCTGCCGGGTGTGGTGGCTCATGCCTTTAATCCTAGCACTTTGGGAGGCTGAGGCGGGTGGATCACCTGAGGTCAGGAGTTTGAGACCAGCCTGGCCAACATGGCAAAACCCCGTCTCTACTAAAAATACAAAAATCAGCTAGGCATGGTGGTAGGCACCTGTAATCCCAGCTACTCAGGGCCTGAGGCAGAAGAATCGCTTGAACCCACAAGGTGGAGGTTGCAGTGAGCCGAGATTGCGCCACTTCACTCCAGCCTGGGCAAAAGAGCGGAACTCTGTCTCAAAAAAAAAAAAAAAAAACTCTCTTTCCATATTCGGTACAGAGAAAACCTGATTTGTGGGAATCAACATGAAGTAACATTGCATTAATGCTTAATTTTTTCCTTCTACTTATAACTGTCTATTAGGAGAGAAACTAGTATTTCCTAGACAAAGCTGCACCTTAGGTGAAATAGTGCCGTGCTTTTTTTCATGATAATCAATCTTTAATTCCCTTGTCCCTCTTCCCATTTCAAACTACCTAGCAAAATGCTAAACTGAACACTAAGCAAATGAGTACTTAAGAAACAGTATGAAAGATGGATAGCAAACAACATATTTTTCCTATTTCAGAACTCAAGGAACTTCACAATTTCTCCTTAGTGCTCAGTCTCTTTGAAGTAAATTTTACATCAAATTAAATTTTGCTAATGAAATTTTACTAATATGTTTTACTAATGACTCAAAAATATGATTTCTAGTTATACTATCTCTACAAAAATTATTTGCATATCCCAACATTTATTTCTTCCTCCTCTTCAATAACCAAACATCAAATTTATTCACTGTGGCAATGCACCCTGCTAAAAGGATATCTGCCACCCCTCTACAGCTAGATGCAGCCATGGACTAAAGTCAGACTAATGAGACAGAATAAGTGCATCACACTCTCAGAGAGTGTTCTATAAAGGAAGAGAGTGGTAGTTCCCTATGCTCTCTGGCCTTTCCACTGGAGGTTTGGAAAGCAGATGTAATGACTTGAGCTCCGTTTGCTGTGACGGACCATGAAGGCTGATCCGTGCACTCTCATCACACTCCAGTTCACTCTGCTGTCACATTTTTCCCAGGACAGTGGCTCCCTCACTAGACTACTCAATCATCTCAGTGCTGACACCATGTCTCATTCATATGGGTACTCTCAGCACCCAGGCATTGCAGTAATTGGCACAGAATAGGCGCTCAATAAACGTCTATTAATTGAATACATACAAGAGAATAAGTGAATTATACTTCCTAAAATCAACTCCAGATTATTACTGATTACCCTCCTTGTTCTCCTGTTTCTGAGAACACTGCTAGCTTAAAAAGTATTTAATATGTCTGAACTTATATGATTATCTATCTCAATGCTCATTTTTAAGTAATTGTTTGACATTTAGGTCAAATTTTTTAACACCTACAATGAAGTTCCCAGGAAACCTACAAAATTCTATTTATGTTACAAATGTCTTAAATATAGTCCCAATAGTGCTATTGTCAGGCAGTAAGTAAATATCTGTGAGATTACCTATCATGTACTGAGCACTCTACTGAGGATACAAAATGAGTGGACATTTGTTTTCTGTTTTACCAGCATCTGGCCCCTCCTTTTCTGGCAATAGTCCCAGATTTTCTTTGGGGGAAACTTACCTCACTCATGCTCTGTTGAAGTGGTTCAGATGGCCTCAAATCCCCTTCTCCTAGCTTCTAGAAGCCTCGGTCAAGTGCCTGAGCCAGTAAGACTAGCCAGACCGGTTTCAGGATGGGCATGCAACTCAAAATAAGCCAATTAGGCACAATAAGAGGTGACCCCTGGCTTTTTCTTGTGTAACTATTAATAGCAAGAGTAGCTTGATCTTTCTTACCACGTTAAACCTTGGATGGAGATAAGTTCAGAGGCTACTACAGGCATTTTGATGCAATAAGGGGAGAACATATATAAAAATGCACCCAACCTAGAAGAAACAAGGCTGAGATACATGGAGAAAAAAACTGGTTTCTGGTGACATGATTTGAGCCCCTGCTTCAAACTCTACCCCTAACTGGGCCTACATTTGGACCTGGTCAATTAAATGAGTCCAGAGTTACAACTTTTAGGAAACCAGTCTGAGCTAAGTTTCTGTCACTTGCAAATAACACTTCTAAGTGGCAATCAGGTGAACACAAACTAATATGCCATTTGTTCCTATGAGGAGAAGCATTTCAAATTCCAAACTGGCAAACAGAGCAATATGAATGCAAAAGTCCTGTAAATAAGTAATTAATTAACCATACATCTACAAAATAGAAGTATTCTTCTTGATAAAACTGTTCTAAATTGAAGAAAGAAGGTCAAGAGTCTTCAATTTGGGGAGTGAAGACTTCCTTATGGTAATACCCAATCACTTATTTCTATATATGGATACTAAATACAACAAATACAGAGAGAGAGCTACTTATAAACTATAGCTCCCATGTCTTTTAAGGAGCACAGAATATTTTCAGTTGCCCAGTCTCATCAATTCTTACAAAGCTCAAGTCCTGAAAGTAAAACAGTTAAAATAGAAATTTCATTACAAGCAATTCAAAAATACCAAATTTTAAATGATCGATAAACATATAAAAGATGCCAAACTTCACCAATAATGACAGAAATCCACATTAACCAGTTTTACCTAGCAGCTTGGCAAAGATTGGATAAATGAACACTGTCTAATGCCAGCAAGGATTTAAGAAAATGTGCTGTCCTTCATGTCATTTGTGGTATAAATTGACATAATTCTTCTGATTATTAGACCTAGTTATACTACATCTGGAAATGTTCGCTAAGGAAAATTGTAAACAAGTATGTAAAGATAAGAGTGTATCATTACATACATGTATGAAAATAGAGATGTTAAAAAGATAACATCCATATTTACTGTCACAAAGCAATATCCATATTATTTACTACATAGAGCAGTTACAGAATATCTTGAGTAAAAATCCAAGTTTTATAAAGTGTATGTGTATGTGTATGTGTGCACCTTAAGACAGAGAAAACAGCCAATATCAACAGAGGCTATCCCCTGGTGGTGAGATTTGGAGGTAATTCTTCTTTCTTTAAACTCTTTTGAATAATTCGATTTTTTTCTCATTGAGAATATACTATTATTTTATTTATATCTTTAGTTACTTTTTTGAGATGGACTCTTGCTCTGTCACCCAGGCTGGAGTGCCGTGGCATGATCTCAGCTCACTGCAATCTCCACCTCCTGGGTTCAAGTGATTCTTCTGCTTCAGCTTCCTGAGTAGCTGAGACTACAGGTGTGTGCCACCACGCCCGGCTAATTTTTGTATTTTTAGAAAGAGACAGGGTTTCACCACATTGGCCAGGCTGGTCTCGAACTCCTGACCTCATGATCCACCTGCCTCGGCCTCCCAAAGTGCTGGGATTACAGGCATGAGCCACCGCACCTGGCAAGAATGTACTATTTTTATAATTGGCAAAAAGCAAACAAAAAAATGACTCTTATTTTGGAACGAAAGAATTCAATGCTGCTCTTGGTTTTGACCCTGAGAAACAACAAAAGGAAAGTAACAAGGTCAGACAAGAAAGGTTTGGCTCTTTTCTCAAGGCATGCCAATTGTGCTGTGACCTGTCACAGGCACATACACACCAGTAAACAATTATAACTCATTATAATTACAACAATTGTAACTCAGTGCATTATTTTACCTGCTAACTCAACAATAATCAAAAGAAAAACTAAAAATTAAACTACCTTATGAAAGTCTTCTAAAGATCATCAAGTAGCTAGCATACGCCCAAAAAATGTAGAGCTGAAAGTAACCTATTCACATGCTTATAGAAGTCAAAAGATATAAACTACTTAAAAAGTCAAGAAATAATAGAAACACATGTGATGCAGTCAATTACAGGTGTGAACAACAAAGACTTTGATTTTGTTTTACATACATTTGTTTTGAGTGAATGACCACTCATGAATGGTTCCTTACTATAAAATGTTTACGGTCCTCTTTACTGATGCTTTCTCATAACTTATGAGGTGATCATTTCTGACATATTTATGGAAAAGTCAATGAAAAAATGAGAAGTGACATAAACATTAGTACTCTATATCTAGTTAACTGAATTTTTTAAAGACTTGTAAAAATATAATTATTTTAATATTTTATAACATATAGTATAATATATATAATAATTAACTCACAAAGATCCCTAAAATTAGCCTAAGAAAATCCTCTCTAAATTTGTCTTCCCATTCTGAGCCTCCTTTGCTTTATAGTTAGCCCTCCTTGAAAGCTTCTAATTTTCATCATTATTGACTCAATAAAATTTCAAATCCTATCCTGCAAAACACTAGCAGTATAATTTCTGCTACAGATACCTCTAAAAGGAGAGTTAAGTTTTACAATTTTGCACTAGGCCAGAAAGTATAGGCTTGTCATAAGACCTATGCACTTCAACTGCCTCACTCATTTCCCCTTTCCAAGTCTCCTCCTAACTATATCATTCTCTACAAATCTTTTTCCACTAAGCCACACAGTATTCAGCATTAGGCATTCTTATTTTATTTTTTATCAAAGCTATCTTAGGGACAGTCTTATGGAATTTTTTATTTTGTGTGTGTGTTCATACGTCCTGATGAAGATTTAGAATATGGATATCTGTTTGTGTATTTCTTTCTCTCTTTCTCTGCTAGAATTCTGCATTTAAATCCTAGCTTGGCTATTTCCAGTTGCGTGATTTAGGCAAGTTTCTTTGTGTCTTTAAGCCTCAGTATCTTCACCTATTAAGAGGATAATAAAGTACCCGCACCATAGAATTTTCTGAGGATTAAATGAGTTAATAACTATAATAGGACATGGACATCTTTGGGGATTACTATTTGATTAGTGTCTGGCATATAATAAATGTTTGCCATTATTATTATTGAAAGTGCAAAGACTTTTTAAAAATGAGAATATCAAATGCTAGAAAGGACCAGGTGTGATTTAAAAATCGTCAGTGCGGCACTTCTCAAAAGAAGACATTTATGCAGCCAAAAGACACATGAAAAAATGCTCATCATCACTGGCCATCAGAGAGATGCAAATTAAAACCACAATGAGATACCATCTCACACCAGTTAGAATGGCGATCATTAAAAAGTCAGGAAACAACAGGTGCTGGAGAGGATGTGGAGAAATAGGAACACTTTTACACTGTTGGTGGGACTGTAAACTAGTTCAACCATTGTGGGAGTTGGTGTGGCGATTCCTCAGGGATCTAGAACTAGAAATACCATCCCATTACTGGGCATATACCCAAAGGATTATAAATCATGCTGCCATAAAGACACATGCACACGTATGTTTATTGCGGCACTATTCACAATAGCAAAGACTTGGAACCAACCCAAATGTCCATCAATGATAGACTGGATTAAGAAAATGTGGCACATATACACCACGGAATACTATGCAGCCATAAAAAGGATGAGTTCATGTCCTTTGTAGGGACATGGATGAAGCTGGAAACCATCAATCTCAGCAAACTATTGCAAGGACAGAAAACCAAACACCACACATTCTCACTCATAGGTGGGAATTGAACAATGAGAACACTTGGACACAGGGTGGGAACATCACACACCGGGGCCTGTTGTGGGGTGCGGGGAGGAAGGAGGGATAGCATTAGGAGATATACCTAATGTAAATAACAAGTTAACAGGTGCAGCACACCAACGGCACATGTATACCTATGTAACAAACCTGCATGTTGTGCACATGTACCCTAGAACTTACAGTATAATAAATAAATAAATAAATAAATAAATAAATAAATAAATATGGTCAATGCAGTTGTGAGCATCAATTAACAGTCAATATTTCAATGAATATTTGGTGGTATACATTTAAAACCCAAAAAATTACTTTGGATTTTTTAGTTTTATGTTTTGGCACATTTCTTAAGGTGTGATAGGCAAAATAATAATCCCCAAAGATATCCACATCTTAATCCCTGAAACCTGTGAAAATGTTACCTTACATGGGAATCAGGATTTTGAAGATGTGATTAAACTTGAGATGAGGAGATTATCCTGAATTATGCACGTGGGCCCAGTATAATCACAGGAAGGACTGAGGAAGGTTAAAATCAGAGAAGGGGATTTGGAGATGGAGTAGAGGTCAGAGAGAAGGCTTTGGGATGCTACACTTCTGGCTTCAAAGATAGAAAAAGGGATAATGAGCCACGTACTATGGGCAGCCCCTAGAAGCCAGAAAAGCCAAGCAAATGAATTCTCCCCTAGAACCTCCAGAAGGAATGCAGCCCTGTTGATAACTTGATTTTAAGACTTCTGACCTCCAGAATTATAAGATAATAAACCTGTGTTGCTTTAAGCTACTAAGTTTATGTTTGTTACAACAGCAATAGGAAACTCATACATAGATAATAATTAGAGATGTAAAGAAAATATTTATATATAGGATAAGTGATGCTATTTTATTTATAATAGTGCAAATTTATGAATGATCTGAATGTCCCAGAATAGATGATTAATTCGAACAAATACTGTACTTTCATAAAGTGGAGTATGATACAACCATTAAAAGTTTATAAATTCTACATTTAATGGCAAGCGAAAATATTCAAGATATTCTAAGTAAAGAAAGAAAGCTATAATTTATTTTAATGTTCATGGTCACATTAGAATAAAGATTTTAATCTAAGCCTTCACCAGTGTTTATGTCTTCACCAGTGTTATGTCAGTGTTTATGCATTAGCATCATTGGTGAGTTTTTTAAATTTTCTTCTCTATTTGTGTAGCATTGGTATTGCCCAGTAGAGCAAAATCTCTGGAAAAAGGAACATGACTGTCTCGTTCAATGCTGTATCCTCACCATACAACACAGTAAGCAACAAAGAAAAATCACTCCATAGTTATGTACTGAATAAATGAATATTTTCAGTGTGTCCCAATTTTTTAACAAATGTATTACTAATATTGCTAAAAATAAAAAACAAGAAATGCACATAATAATAATTTTTAAATATTCAACTTCACTAGTAATCAAAAATTAAGATAACAATTTCACCTAGTAAATTATATGGGTTAACATATTATATTGGCATATTTATGGTCACAGAGACGTTACTGAATATAAACTAGTATGTCCTTTTAAAAAAATAATTTGACAATCATCAACAACCTTTAAAATGTTCATGTACTATAGCTTATTCATTAATTCTACAAATATTTGTTGAGCATCCAACATACAATGGTGCTTTTAGATCCAAGGATACAGTGGTGAACAAAATAGAACAAAATGCAACAAAAAAATCCCACCCTCAAGGAGCTTACATTCTAGAAGAGGAGGCAGTCAATTTTAAAGATAAACAAGTACAATACAAAATATGATAGGCAGTAATAAGTGTTAAAGTGAAAAACAAAACAGGCCAGAGGATAGGGAGGCAGGGCAGAGGATACAAGTTTTGGTACTGAGAACAGTTCACTGTGCATCTTTCCTGACCTTTTTCTGTGTCTAAACACAAATACATTACACACATACCCACTGTATGTGCCCAAACATAAGACAACTAGAATAAACGTTAATCCCCTATTTTCCCCATGAAAATATCCAAAATTAGATTTCTGGCCATTTTCATTATATAAATGTTTAAGGATGTAGCCAAAATAGTCAAATGACTTCATATTGTATAATTTATAATTTAAACATACTTTATTTTTTATATTCAGTTTAATTACTATTTTTACATTAAAATTAAGTTCTACATTAGTAAACTTAATTTTACTAATGTTTTACATTAGTAAAACAAACTCTGTTTTTTGAACTTTTTTTTAACTGGCATGAAGAATTACAGCTCTTAGGTGTTAACATGGGAAGGGAAAAGGGTATTTATCCCATTTAACAGGTCTGGCTAGCTTGTATTCAATAAATATGTGCTTGAAGAAGCCATCTGAGGTAATCTTTAGGATCTGTTATGAATTTATAAAGATATAATTCCAGGTAATATCTTTAAAAAATAGAGAAAGGATTTATCCCCTGACTACTGAACGGGACAATGCTTATGAAAACCTTTTACCAACCCTGTCAAGTGTTTATTCATGCTCTGCAAAATATTTTCAGCAAGTATTTCCTGTGAGTTTATAACCAGGTTCATTTATGAATTCAAGACATATTTATTGAGCATGACTGACGCTGGCGCTGGCTCTGGCTCCAGGCAGAGATGATAAAACAACGAATCCCTGCTCCCACAGAGCTTCACACAAGGAGAAGCCTCCAACATATTTTATACAGCACTATCTTAGCATGTTCATTTGGAAATATTGTATATTTTCTACTCAAAGTTCATGAAATGATTTTATTCTACTTTCTCATGTGCCTCTTTGAAATCAGGGTCACTATCATCAACAGAGCCACCTTTTAAATCATCTAACAGTGTTCAAGGACACACCAACTTTCCTTCAGTCAGAGTTACTTGAGAACTAGCCCTTTTTGAGTTCGTGTATAATGATGTCACTGGAAATTTTATGCCCACCACAAATACCCAGTAGCTATTTGTGATTTCCGCGAAGTAATCACCTACTGTATTGCTTTATAAAGTAATTTTCAAAAGGCTTGTTTACAATAACATCCAACACTTGTAATTGTGAGGTCATCCTCCTAAAAATTACTTCTAGATCTTTAAATTCATTTCTATGGTTTCTGGCCAATTCCATTGAGTGACCTCAATAAGCATCTAGAAATGATATTAAGTTTCTTCAGGCTAATGTAGTTTATCCAAGCAGTACTTTATTGATTTGCTATTTTTGAAAAGTTTAGTAATTGAGTAATATGAAGAGATTTCCTTTCAGAAGACTAAATTATAAGGCCATACTCTCTTTCTGAAGTATAATTTTTCAGGTAAAATGAATATCTCATATAGAAGAATTTATGCCAAACATGTCTATAAGAGTGTATGTATATATATTTGTATTTTGTTTTTGTTCTTAGTTAAAATACTGGGATCACAAGCGTTTTGAATTTACAGTCATGAAGGAAATGCAAAAGATGATGTCTTCATAGCGAAAAACCCTTGGATTTTAAATATAGTGCCTTTGCCATATATGGATATGCAAAGCCATAAAAAATTTAGAAAAATGGTAGATTCACAGCTTTTTCTTCAAACCATGGTACCAACATTCTGACAGTTCAAAATTAATGAAAAGAAATCTCACTGGATGGAGAACAAGCTAGAGATTAAGTCACAATCAACAAAGAACATCATTTAATCTGAATATTCAAATAATATAGTTTTAACAATTATCTCAGCAAACAATAACACAAAAATAAATTGAGAACACAAGAAAAACATCCATTCTGAAGAAGCAGAGAAATTATTCTGGTACTTTATTACCATCTAAACCTTAGCGATCTATTAAAGTTTAGCATAGTTTTAAAAATTCTAGTTAATTTAAAATCATATGCTAACATATGATTTCAATTTAACTAGAATTTTTAAACTACAAATCCTTTGAATTATAGGTTCTTTTTGAACCAAAATTCAACTCTAATGAAGGCATCTGCCAAAGTCTATGGGGTCCTGTTTGTGCTAAAAGACTCTGGCATTTGTTTCTTGAGTCTCATTCATTGAGTACTAGAGGGTAATTAACTTCATTATTGAGTTTGAACAAAAATCAGTAATGGATGCACAAGAACTATTTAATATTAATGTTCAGCTCTCTAATAGAGCTGTTTTACTTTACACAAAGGGGTTTGGCTAGGTTTGTGTTGATTTAAAGTCTCAGAATGAAAATAATTAGTGGATATAAGTAAAAGAAACCATTGGTCCAGGCGAAGTAACGGTAATTTTTAAAATTCCAACATACACTTTACCTAGTCGCTAAAAATGAGATATAATTTTACGCTTTTAGACAAGAGGAGAGCTGGTTGGCACTATTCCTGGGTAGCACTTTTCACCAATATTTCTGATAATGTTCCATGGGAAAGCAAAAGGCAACAGAGATTCTAAAAAGGTTCCAGACACCAAACTGTACATGTAACCTTGACCTTATTTATCATTATGATAATAATCACCGTGTAATTATGTGTAGATTTGCTCTCATACATCAACTTCTTTTCAACTTTGAAAAATAAAGAGTTCATATTTCTTGACAGGAATAAAAGAGCAAAAAAAAAAAAAAACCACTTAAACTTAATTATTTTGGCCATAGCTCACTGTTAGCATATGATTTAAATTTTACAGTGAGTAAAGACCAATTTATTCTCAAAAGCCCTGATTATTTTGACAATATTTAAAATGTTTTAAATAAAAAGAACAAAAATGTTTTATCATGTATTACAGAAAAATATTTGTTATCTATTAAAATCTCACACACAACCATGCCTACAAAAACTCTTCATGATTCAGACTTAATACTTAAGTTTAAACTTATCACAGAAGGATGATATCTACATCAAGCTGCAGATATTTCACAGCAAGCATGCCTATAGTTCATTTTTTCATTTGTTCATTCACGCATTCAACAAGTATATAAAAGGATTATTCCAGACAAAGCCTATCCTATCATGGAGCCTACATTCTAGAGGAGAGAGACAGACAATAAACAAACAAGTTTAAATTATGCCTAACAATAAAAAGTACTATGGAGAAAACTAAAAACCAGAGCAAGACAGCATGGGAGAAGGGAGTGGTTCTAGTTTTATGTAGGTCGGTTACAGAATGTCTCTTTAGCAGCAACCTGGAAGAGATGAGGGGATGGGCCTGACAGATATCAGGGAGAAGCACTTTCTAGGACAGAGAGAAGAGACACAGCAAAGGCCCAGAGATGGGAACATGCTGGTTTTGTAGGAAGAACAACCAGGAGGCCAGGGAGCCTGGAGTAGAGTGAGCAAGGGGACAGCCACAGGAGATGTGGCCCCAGAGAGAAAGTGTCTCTAGCCCAAGCAGGCCTGGGGACCCATTCAGGACTCTGGTTTCTGAGTGGTCGGAGAAGCTCCTCAGGAGTTTTAATCACAGTAATAACTTATCAGATATATTTTTTAAAGATCACTCTGGCCACTCTACTGAAAACAAACTTGCAATGCCAGAGCAGAAGCAAGATCAGTAAAGAGGCTACTGCAATAATGCTTTGTCCAGGGTCCCAGAAAAGTAGCTCAGGCCAAGCTTAGCTGCAGATGCTTTATCTGGAAGGAAAACTCCGAAGCGGCAAGAGTTAGGGCAGTGAGGCAGAGAAGGAGGGAGTGCATTAGCACGTCGGTCAATGCTTCCCAGAAACCCAGCCAACTGCTCTGGCAATGAGGGATTTGGTAGAGCCAGGCTGGATGGGATGACCACACCTCAGAGCTGTCAGGGGAGGGCTGTATCTGCTGTGGGAGATGATGAGATGCCCTGCAGTAGAGACGCTACTGGGTCTGAAATAGCACTTCCCATCTTCTCACTGGCATTTGAGCAAGGAGCACCATTGCGGGAGGAGGGAGAGAGTGTATCTTCTGGCTCCTTTCTCATCCTGTCTGTTATTGGTCAAAAGTCCCCCCAAAGCGTGACTCCCCACCTCCCTGCTACCTACACACACAAGTCAGGTTTTGTGATCTGACTCCTCAAGACAGCTACTGAGCAGACAGAGTGCATGCCCACAGCCTGACACTTCACCTGAGTCCAGGTACAGGGGTCGACAATCATTCTGAGGGTCAAGCTCGGCCATCACCCCCTGACAGTGTCAGATGAGGCAAGGTGGCATTAGTCAGGGTGTGACACTGAACCAGCAGCCCCAGGCCAGGAGGCAGGTGG
Organism: Homo sapiens; assembly: GCF_000001405.40. NCBI lineage: Eukaryota > Metazoa > Chordata > Mammalia > Primates > Hominidae > Homo > Homo sapiens. The sequence goes on from NC_000010.11 coordinate 17,192,055, forward strand.
GGCCAAGCAAATCCGGGCAGCGCAAAAATTAAGTCTGACAAGACAGGAGAGAGATTATAGATCAGGTGGTAAAGGTGAAAATGGAGAGAAATGATAGAGTTATAAATATAGTCTGAAGGTAAAGCCTGTAGAACTGGCTGATGTGGGTGAAAAAGAAGAAACAAGATGACTCCAAGGCTCAGGTGTGGGCAACTAGAAGAACAAAGCCACCTGTTATTGGGGTGAGGCAGGTTACAAGAGTGGCAAGTTTTGGAAGGGATCAGAGACCAGTAGTTCAGCTTTGGGCATTCTAGGAGAAAACAGAGATAGTAAGAATGACAATACCTGCCTAATAGAAATATTACAGAGAAGCTTATTTCAAAGTTCGTCCAAATTATGAACATAGTTGGCTAATATGTATAGCCCTGGCGCATCTTTTCTTTCACAACCCCAGCATCTCCCTCAGCTCCATCACTGCCCTTTTGTTGCCCATCAGACATTTCCGGAAACACGCACTAAGGAGCACTGTTTTCACAATGTAGGTGTGCTCTCCTTCCCCGCAAAACAAAAGGGTGGGCGAGGGGCAGGAGCAGCAGGGTCCTTGCCCAAATATAAATACATATGGGAAGCACTGTTTTAAGCCAAACAGCTTCTTTACTTCTCAAAACCTGATACATTTCACGTGTCTTGAGAAGGTCTCAAGGAAAGATGTTGTGTGGAGAGTTTCTAAACGTATTTGAACATCAAGGTACACTGAATAAACAAAATCCATATGATCCTCTCAAAAGATGTGGAAAAAGCTTTCAATAAAATCCAACATTTCCTCATGATAAAAACCCCTCAAGAAAGTAGGCATCAAAGGAACATACCTCAAAATAATAAGAGCATCTATGACAAGCCCACAGCCAACATCATACTGAGTGGGCAAATGATGGAAGCATTCCCCTTGCGAACTGAAACAAGACAAGGATGCCCATTCTCACCACTCTATTCAACATAGTATTGGAAGTACTAGCCAGAGCAATCCCTCAACAGAAAGAAATAAAGGAGCCAGGCACAGTGGCTCACACCTGTAATCCCAGCACTTTGGGAGGTTGGGGTGGGCTGATCACCTGAGGTCAGGAGTTCGAGACCAGCCTGGCCAACATGGTGAAACCCCGTCTCTACTAAAAATACAAAATTAGCCAGGCATGGTGGCGCATGCCTGTAGTCCCAGCTACCCAGGAGGCTGAGGCAGGAGAATCGCTGGAACCCAGGAGGCAGAGGTTGCAGTGAGCCAAGATTAAGCCACTGCACTCCACCCTGGGTGACAGAGTGAGAAGACGTCAAACGATCTCTCTTTGCAGATGATATTATTTTATACCTAGAATACTCTAAAGTCTCCACCAAAAGTCTACTGGAACTAATAAATGACTTCATCAAAGCTTCAGGATACTAAATTAATGTGCAAAAATTAGAAGCATTTCTATACACAAATAATGTTCAAACTGAGAGTCAAATCAAGAATGTGATCTTCTTTATAACAGCCACAAAAAACATATAAAAATACCTAGGAATACATCTAACCAAGGAGGTGAAAGATCTCTGCAAGGAGAATGACAAAATACTGCTAAGAGACATCATACAGGTGACAAACAAATGGAAAAACATCCCATGCTTATGGATTCAAAAAATCAATGTTGTTAAAATGGTAGTACTGCCTGAAGCAATCTACAGATTCAGTGCTATTCCTGTCAAACTACTAGCATCATTTTTTCATAAAATTGGAACAAACTATTCTAAAACTCATATGGAACCATATAAAAGCCTGAATAGCCAAAGCAATCCTAAGCAAAAAGAACAAGGCCAGAGGTATCACATTAATGGACTTCAAACTATACTATAAGACTACGGTAACCAAGACAGCATGGTACTGGTACAAAACAGACATATCAGACAAACGAAACAGAATAGATAACCCAGAAATAAAGGCACACACCTACAGTCATCTGATCTTCAACAAAGTAGACAAAAAAAATGGGGAAAGGACTCACTATTTAATAAACGGTGCTAGGATAGCTGGCTAGCCATATGCAGGAGAATGAAACTAGACCCCTACCTTTCACCATATACAAAAATTAACTCAAGATGGATTAAAGACTTGAACGTAAGACCTCAAACAATAAGAATTCTAGAAGAAAACCTAGGAAACACCACTCTGGACATTGGCCTTGGAAAAGAATTTATGACTAAGTCTTCATAAACGATTGCAACAAAAACAAAAATTGACAAGTGGGACCTAATTAAACTACAGACCTTCGGCACAGCTAAAGAAACTATCAACAGAGTAAACAGACAACTCACAGAATGGGAGAAAATATTTGCAAACTATGCATCTGGGAAAGGTCTAGTATCCAGAATCTAAAAGAAACTTAAACAACTGAACAAGCAAAAAACAAACAACCCCACTTAAAAACTAGGCAAAGGACATGAACAGATACTTCTCAAAAGAAGTGGCCCATCAACAAAATGAAAAAAAATAGTCATCATCACTAATCTTCAAGAAATGCAAATCAAAACCACAATAGGACAGCATCTCAAACCAGTCACAATGGCTACGATTAAAAAGTCAATAAAAAGCTAGGCGTGATGGCTCATGCCTGTAATCCCAGCACTTTGGGAGAACGAGGCAGGTGGATTGCTTGGGATCAGGAGTTCCAGACCAGCCTGGTCAACATGGTGAAACCCTGTCTCTACTAAAAATACAAAAATTAGCCAAGCGTGGTCGTGGGCACCTGTAATCACAGCTACTAGGGAGGCTCAGGCAGGAGAATAGCTTGAACCCGGGAGGCAGAGGTTGCAGTGAGCCAAGATTGCACCACTGCACTCCAGCCTGTGCAACAAAGCAAGAATCCGACTCAAAAAAAAAAAAAAGTCAAAAAAAAAAAAAAACGCAGATGCTGGCAAGGCTGCGGAGAAAAGGGAACCCTTATGCACTGTTGATGGGAATGTAAATAAATTCAGCCATGGTGGAAAGCAGCTTGGAAATTTCTCAAAGAACTTAAAACAAAACTACCATTCAACCTCGCAAGCTCATTACTGAGTATACATGCAAAAGAAAGCAAAATCATTCTACCAAAAAGACACATATACTTGCATGTTCATCACAGCACTAGTCACAATAGCAAAGACGTGCCCATCAATGGCGGACTGAATTAAGAAAATGTGGTATATATACACCATTGGAATACTACGCAGCCATAAAAAAGAACAAAATCATATCCTTTGTAGCAACATGGATGCATCTGGAGGCCATTATCCTTAGTGAATTAACACAGAAACAGAAAACCAAATACCTCATGTTCTCACTAATAAGTGGGAGTTAAACATTGGATACTCATGGACAAAAAGATGGCAACAATAGACACCGGGGACTACTAGAGAGAGAAGGGGGGCAGCAAAGGTTAAAAAACTAACTGTGGGTACTATGCTCAGTGCCTGGGTGGTGGGATCATTGATACCTCACATCTGAGCATCACACAATATACCTAAGTAACAAACTTGCACATGTACCCCTTGAATCTAGAAGCTGAAAAAAAAAAAATTTACCCCTAACCCCAAAAAATACTTTGCAGTGAAGTAAGCACACATTATTCCTCACAAGAAAAGATAAGTAATTCAATTGTCTAATGGGAAGTTAAAGTTCTCTTTTACTGAATACTCAAAATTCATCTTACGTATTTCTTTTTTGTATTTCAAGTTTATTAACTTCCACAGCTGCCAGAGAAGAAATGATAAATTTATTTTAATAGGACAACTTTTTACGTTGCTTCACTTTAAATATGACTTGCTATATAAGAGTAACTAGAAGGAAAGAGGCATGAAAAGGAAAATTTTATAATCCCAAAGACAGGTATGTATAACTGAAAAAAAAATTAAGCGGTTCATAGGCCAGCCCCTAACAACTGATGCTATAAAAATATCCTTAGGTGACATTCATATCTACATACAAATACACTTCATCGTAATGTAGTTGCCTGATTCAGTTACAAACACACCCAGTTACAAGCTGGTCTAGTAGACTCCCAAGTTGGCATGTAAGTCGTTGAGGAACAAAGACAAAAGAGATTCAGAAAATGAATAATTAATACGTGACAAATGAGATGCTTAGCATTTTAAAAGAAAATATTAAGGCTGAGTAATTCTTACTAAACACAATGAAGTATTATGGGGTAAAACTCAAAGCCAACTCCTTGGAAGAGCTTTAGAAGCTATTTGGCAGACAGGCCTTTTTGCTTTTAAGGCTGACTCCAATATTTGACTATATAGAAAACAGTCATCCAGCTAGAGCTTTCCTTTATTCACCACCTTAAACCACACTTTACTCTTCTCCTGATACTACATTTTAAAATGAGAAAAATACAGAATCTTATTTGCATATATTTGCAGGTGACCTTGCAGGCTCCACTGATATATAACCTGTGACACTACTTCTTCCACTGCTTTCTGAAAGAAGATATTTTCACTTGGAAGATTCTCATTAGCCAAAACTTTGTAGACTGTGCAGACATAAATATCAAAGTACACATAAGTAGTTTCTGTATAGGTCAAATATGTATTTAAAAATGTAATAGACATTGTTATACTGTGGCCATCTAGAATCTTTGCCTATGTTTCCTGTGTTTGAAAATTTGCCACAGTATGGATCCTTCCTTCCCCAAATAGAAGCCAGAACTCACCTTCTCAGCTTCCCTTGTCTGGCCGTGGTATCTAGTGTCTACCAACCACCTGCATCCACATGATAAGACCTCAGTTTAGAGTTAGCAGTGTGAGGAGAGACTTCAATTCAGAGGTAGCAATGGAAGAACTTAAACAAACGAGGAAACCCATCTTTCTGGCAAGGGAGGTGGTAAGAGGCATCCACCTCTCAAGGGAAAACTGCGACAGCACTTCTGGCTTCCAGAACCCAGCACTGTTGGTGTAAGCTGTGATGTCGGGATAAAGCTTCACTGTGGCCATACCCACACTATAGTGTGGGCAGTGCTCCTGTTCACCTAACCTGTTTGTTGGGTGTCCTGGAGATTCTGTGAGTTTCCAAATGTTTTTAATTTTTTTTTTCCTGATTATGTTAGCTAGAGTGGATTCTGTGGGTTGCAACTAAGAACTACATATAATACAAAAAAAGAATCTGGGCTAAATAAACCTTCATCATTTGATAAAACGATAGCAGAAGGATTATCAATTCAATAGTAACCTCAATAGTAAGCTAGAAAGAGTGTGGTACTGTGCTAGAGGCTGTACAGGAACAGAAAGGAACAGCAAAGAATGTTACATTTAAGCCATGTAAATACATGGGAAAATAGATATAAATAAAGTTAAATGAAATTTAGAAAATACAGAAGCATCTATGTAGTGACTGTAAAAATGCAACAGCATACTGGATATGCTGATAAGGATGAAAAACTTTTATTGACATATTTTTTAAATGTTCACTGGGTTTGAGGCAAATCTATCATGTTGCTAAAGAAATTAAATATACTTTTTATAACTGAAAATTCAGTAATGTGGGGAAAAATATTTGCAAATCATATATCCAATAAGACATTAAGATCCAGAATATATAAAGCCTACAACTCAATAACAAAAAGAAAATTCCAAAATGGGCAAAGGCCTTGAACAGACACTTCTCTGTATTGAAGAAAACAAATGACTAACAGGCACATGAAAAGACCCTCAACAACCCGGCACAGTGGCTCACACCTGTAATCCCAACACTTTGGGAGGCCAAGGTGGGTGGATCACCTGAGGTCAGGAGTTCGAGACCAGCCTGGCCAACATGGTGAAACCCCATCTCTACTAAAAATACAAAAAATTAGCCAGGCATGGTGGCAGGGACTTGTAATCCCAGCTGCTCGGGAGGCTGAGGCAGGAAGATCGCTTGAACCCGGGAGACGGAGGTTGCAGTGAACTGAGATCGCGCCACTGCACTCCAGCCTGGGCAAGAAGAGCGAAACTCCATCTCAAAAAAAAAAAGAAAGAAAAAGAAAAGATGCTCAACATCTTTAGTTATTAAGAAAATGCAAATCAAAACCACAATAGGATATGATTTCATATCCATCAGAATGGCTATTATTTTTAAAAAATGGAATAACAAGTGGAGAATATGGAGGTAGAGGAAACGGAGTGCTCATGCAATGGAAAATTGTGCCGCTGCTGCGGAAAACAGGCTGGTGGTTCCTCAAGAGTTACACAGTATTATCATATGATCCAGCAATTCCACTGCTAGGTCTATACCCCAAAACTTAAAAGTAAGGACTCAAACAATACTTATATACCAATATCCAAAGCAGCACTACTCACAATGGTCAGCAGGTAATTGATACAACTCAAGTGTCTATCAACAGATGAATGGATACACAAAATTGTACAGCTATACAATGGAATATTATTCAACCACAAAAAGAACTGAGATATTGATACAGGCTACAAAATAAATGAACTTTGAAGACATTATTCTAAGTGAAATAAGCCAGACACAAAAGGACAAATGTATTATTCTACTTATGTGTGGTACGCAGAGTAGACAAGTTCATAAAGACAAAGCAGAATCAAGGTTACCAGGGACTGGGGGGAAAGGGAATTTGGAGTTATTGTTTAACAGGTACAGAGCTCTGTTTGAGATGATTAAAAAGTTTTAGAAATGAACAAGGGTGATGGTTGCACAACATTGTGAATGTACTTAATGCCATTGAACTATACATTTAAAAATAGTTTAAATGATACATTTCATGTTGTGTTTTACCACAATAAAAAAATTCCATTATGAACCTTATCTAGAAATCAGTCAAAAATGAAGTTCAATATTATTCCTTTTGTGCTGCTTATTATATTATTTAATGTATAGATCCAAGGAAGTTAGTAGTTCTAACCAGAACAACGGCAACATAGCATAGTTAAAAGGTCAGGTAGGTAGACCTAGGTTAAAATACCAGTTCTACCGCTAACTAGTTTATTACATACTTAAAAAAGGACCTGAATTTAAAAGATCCCTAATAAACACTAAAGTTAGCTGCTGTTATTAGTCTTTATTATTATATTAAAAACCACCTGGAAAGGAGCAATGCATTTTATTACAGGTAAATTTTAAACTTTAGTACATCAAATAAGTGAACATGGGAAGGCAAACAAGTGTGGAAAAATATTTGCATCAATATGATTAAGAGTCTATATCCCTAATATGCAGATTTCCACCGAAAAGATGAGAGAGCAGAGAGGTACAGGGAGGCAGGAAAGTTGCTTTGGATCACAGGGTCAGCCAGGGAAGGCCAATATATGAACTAAGACATGAAATGTGAACCGAAGCTAGAGTGAAAAAGTCTGGGGTTAGGGAGCACTCTGGATGAGGCAACAGCAAAAGCAAAGGCCAGAACATCGAAGAACTTCGAGGGTTTGAGGAGTAGAGAGAAAGAAAAACAGTAAGCCTCGACAAGAAAGGCTGAGGAAAGAATTCAGGGAATCGTTTAATTAGAATTTCAGCTTTGGGTGTTGACGGTGAAGCGGGATGCTGAAGGGAGAGTGGCAGATAAAATTGAAGAGAAGACAGAAGCCAGAACTCACAAGCCTGTTAAGATGGGACTGTGATTACAATCTCAAAAGCAACCATTTAAGCAACGAAGTAACATGATCTGGTTTACTGTGCAAATGATCATGCTGCCTGCTAGAAGGAAAACGGAGTAGGGAGGCAGAATGGAAGTAAGGAGAGAAGCTGGGAAGCTATGTTAATAATTTAAATTACAGAACTTAATAGCTTGGATTCACAACAGTAGAACTGGCAATAGAAAAACGTGTACAAATTCACATTGCATTGGCTAATAGGAGAGAAAATATTTTACTCTTTCATTAATCCCAAAACTGTCACTTAAAATTACACAATTTCCCCTAACAAATTAGCAAGGATTAAAAATTGATAATACATATCCCTGATGAATATGTAGTTAAGGCACTCAAAAATCTCTGAAAAGCAATTTGCTATCCTCTCTCTCAAAAGCCTTAAAAATTCTGTTTTTCACTTAGTAACTAGCACACAGTTAAGTCTTACTGTTGAATTAATTCCAACAGTTAGTAAACATGCTTAAAGAGAAAATCGGCATTATGCTCAAGAATGTAACTGTAGCACACTGTACTTGCAAAAAAACTGAAGAATGATCTAAATATTCGACACTTAAGGAATGGCTGAATTACAGCTTATGATAAAGTACTAAGCAATTCATTAAGGAGTTTCAAGATATGGGAAAACGCGGACATTATATCACTTTAGAGAATTAACAAAGAGTAAATAGTACTAGAGTTTTGCTTTGATGCTGCTAAGTTTTAAAATGAGAAATAAAGATAGCCGGCAAACAAGTACTAAAAACTTAATGATCATTAACCTAGTCTAGAATTGAAACTCAATAAATCTGCTCAAAAAACTTATACGCTAAACCCATTAAATATTGTCTGTATCTTACAGTTACTCTTGTTACTCTTGGTCCTAAATAAGGAAGCAGGGAAGTTTCAGTTCGGTGGTTGTCTTAGTAATTTAAGAATAAACATGCACCTTCAAAGCCTGTTTGTCATTCTGTATCCCCAGCTCCTAGCACAAAATCTGGCACAGAATAGGAGCTCAATAAATAATTTTGAGTGAATATCACCAAAAGTAAAACTTTCAGTTCCAACTCAGCATGAAAGAAATCAAAAACCTCAAAATCAAAGACGTGCATAAAAGTAATAGTTTGCTTGATAATATCTCGTGATGTCGTTTTAAAGTAATAGTGATAATAATGTATAATATTTGGAGTGGTTACAATGTATCAGGCACTAACAAGCACTTGACAGACTTTAATCCTTATAATAATCATTCTCTTTTAAAACCAGGAAACAGGTTCATCACTGTTCACGAAGTAGCCCAACGTCACACTGCCACCAAGCTGGAACTCAGTTCTCTGGCATCTAAACGCAGAACTACAGAAGACACGTTTCTTTCCAACGATCAGACGTCCAAGTTCTTCAAGCTTCCTCTACCATCCTATTTAGCATTCGCAAACTTCTACCTTGAATTGTAGCTATTATCCCTTCCAAGATCCATCTCTCACCAGGGGAGCCCCTGACACTCCCTCCCTCCCCAGCTGGGAAGCCCCCCAGGATGAAGGACCGAGTCTCCATGCTTCTCGGTGGCTGCACACTTAGAATGGGGGCTTGGCACCAGGCGAGGGTCTCGCCCCTTTGATACCCTTTGAGGTTGATTTACTGCCTTGCGAATCCCGACTCCCAACTGGGCCCTTTGAGGCGCCATGTGCGGCCCCTCGAGCCAGACTCGGCGCCAGGAGAAGGGAGTCAGCGTCTGGAGGGGTGGACACGGCGGCGCGCAGGAGCTGTTTCCAGGACAACCGAGGGCCGCCCCACAGTGTCCGCCCCACAGTGTCCGCCCCTTGCGTCTCGCCGCTCCGCCCCTTCCCGGCGCGGGTGCTCCAACCAGCCCCCGTGAGCGAATAGAGAGAGGGGTGCTAGATGGACTCTCACCTCTCAGCGCGTGGTGCATGCCGCCCACGCCGCTGTATAGCTCCAGCACCCGCAGGGGCTCCATCCCCGCGCCTCAGCCGCCGCAGCCCCGGAGCTAGGCCTGCCGGTCCGTCGCTCCTCCTCCCTCCATCGCGCCGCTCCCTCAGCCTCTGGTTCCGCGGCGTTTCAGTTCCCCCGTCTCCTACCGCTCCAGGCTCAGGGCTTCAGAGGGCCTCGCGGCCTGGGGATTGGCAAGGGTCTAGAGGGGAACAAAGGACGGAAAACAATAAGGCTTCCCGAATGAATGGCAGCCACTCTGTAGCCTGATTTACGCTCCATTTCCTTCTTTGGTGTCAGGGGCCTTGATTGGAAAAGAAATCCAGAGTTCAGTAAAGGGGAGAAAACTGCCTTGGTTTCCAAGTGAATTAACACTGGTTAGAAGCCAGAAAAAAATCATTTTTCAGACAAGCTGCTTTTCTGTCACTTAGAAGCCTGAACATTCAAACATTCTTTCCACAGTGTGCCTTGTTTCCTGCCTGCCCTGGGTCAATAGAGAGAAATTAGACCAGCCTCTCCCCTAGAGAAGATTCCAGAATTATAAGTAAGGACACAAGTCCACTCGCAGCAGAGAAAGCCCTGTGTGCGTGCTGATAATACAGAGGATGTTTGTTGTGTCTATTAGTGGGGTTAATTATGTTTTAGCTTGGAAATTACACCTACATAGAATACACAGTGAATATCATGTAGGATTATTTATGGGTCTTTAAGTGCTATGGCCTTGATTCCTCAGGATGATCCAGTAACCAACTGTTAGAGGCTCATGTTGACGAAAAAAGCCAAACTCCGTAAAATGTTTGAAGAGGTTTATTCTGAGCACAAGGTGAGGACCGTGACCCATGACACAACCCCACAGGGTCCTGACAACATGTACCCAAGGTGGTTGGGCTACAGCTTGGGATTATATGGTTTTAGGGAGACATAAGGACATTAACTGGTATATGGAAGGTGTACTTAGTTTGGTCCATAAAGATGGGACAACTCAAAAAGGGGAAGGATTCCAGGTTACAGGTGGATTCAAAGATTTTCTGATTGGCAGTTGGTTGAAAGAGTTAAGTTGTGACCTAAAGACCTGGAATCAATAGAAAGGAATGTGTCTGGGTTAAGATAAGGTGGAGACCAAGGTTCTTATTATGTAGACGAAGTCTCATACGTAACAGGCTTCAGAGAGAATAATTGGCAAATGTCTCTTATCATGTGTAAAAAGATGCCAGACTCTTAGTTAAATATCTCTTGGATCAGGAAAAGACCTGGAAAGGGAAAGGGAGTCTCTATAGAATGTAGATTTTCCCCACAAGAGATGGCTGTGTAGGGCCATTTCAAAAAGTGTCAAAGAAATTTATTTTAGGGTAAAATGCTTTGATTTAGGGCCTGCTATCTTTCATGTGATGCTATACTAGAGTCATGTTGGAATTTTGGTATCTTATTGCTAAGAAGAGTCTGTTATGTCGGTATGAAGATCTCTTGTTTTAATAATAATACTGGTCAGTTGTGCCTGAACTCCAAAGAGAGGAAAGTATAATGAGGCATGTCTGACTTCCCTTTCCCAGCATGGCCTGAACTAGTTTTTCAAGTTTCTTTGGAATCCGCTTGGTGGAGGTGTTCAATCAGTCAGTTGGGGGGAGCTTAGAAATTTTGTGGGGGGAGCGGTGTTTACAGTCAATTATAAATAAAAATAATGTACCCATATGGAGGATAGAAAATGTTCCCGTTGTGAAGTGTTTTTCTCTTTGTTCCCAACACTGCCACAGGTTTTTGTTAGGGGGAACTTGGGGGTACCACTTGTAATAACAATAACTGATTTGTTAGAAATGTTGCATGCCTGCTAATGTAATGCTGTTAACAAATAAAAGTATAACCACTGCATCCAAATTATAACATTCACTGGTTCCTTTTGATGTGGTCTATGAAATTAACTTTTTAAATTGTACATGTGCATTGGCCACGTGCTTTGCTTTTTGTTAGTCACTTTCAGATAAGAAGAGGTGTATGGTAGAAAGATACCAGATAACTCAGCTTTAGCCCTGGCGTTGCCAGTTAACTGATTGTGTGACTTTGAGATGACCCTGGTTTCCTCATCTGTAAGATAAAGCAGAAGGGAACAGAAAGAGATGGATTGTTGAGGGTGTTTTAGTTCCAAGAAATGAATTCATGGCTGAATTCAAATTAGAAAAAATGAGACCTGATTTGGCAACGTGTTAATTATTTATTGAATTTGAAATATGTAGAAAGAAGACTTGTTACCTGCTTTAAGCAAATGTACTCTTAAACTAACTCAGCTTACAGAAACCATGTACACACTGACATATGTATAATGCATGAAGCAAACTTTTTAAATATTTATTACATATAGTACCAGAAATAAACATCAGTACATAAAATGTAAAGGGAACTATATAGTCACAGTGATTTATATATAGCCAAAAACCAATATATTAAACAAATCTGGAATTTTCAGCATTCGTGCTATAAATCAAAATAAATGTGACAAAAGACCTTACCTGTAGGGGAGAGACAGTACAGACACATGGCAGAGTTAATGAAAAATACCAACCTCCTGAGAGGAAGGAGCCTCAAACCCCTTCCCCACACAGGCTGATTACAAACTGTTTACTCTGATACTTAAGGATCTTCACGGTATAGCCCTGAACTTACTTTTCTTCCTTAACTTTTTTCTCTTCTTGAACTCTGCTGTAAATGAAACTACTTGGTGTTCCCCAAACATGCCCTTCAGTTCACTTCTCTGCTTTTGTTCTTTCCCTTCTCTAGAAATCTCCTAGACTTCTTTAAGACCTATACTTCAAGTGGAACCTTCCTTCTAGACTCCCAGCCTAAAATATCCTGACACATTGCAACTCCTAGGTCTCCCTCATCTTCTGAAATACAGATCACCCTTGTACTTGTCATTCAATCCTTCCAGTTATTCTAGCCCAATTGTCACCTCATATGTGCCACATCTTTATGTATTATTTCCTCTCTGAGGCTTATCTCGTGATAATTATTTCAAGAATGAAAACTCTCTCCATAATCATAATTTACAACTATCTCCATGGAAGCATCTGTAGATATTAGGCCCCCTGGGATTATGTATGCAAATGTCTTCCAATCACTGGCACAAATTACATGATTTGGTGGAAGAGTGGGAGGGCTGGTGGAGGTGGTACAATAGGGAGTAGCTGAGGAGAAAAGTGAGGTGAGCAGAATGAAAGTAAATATTGATTACTTTTTCCGAAAGCAAATCCCGAAGGCTCATAAGAGAGAAGAAAAACTCTCTAGTCCCATAATTTCCCATAAAGTCATCCTCAATGATATGTACAATACTATTTATATTTTAATTAGAGAAACTAGACATACTTTTAAAAAAGCAAGCAAATATCAAAACTGGAATGTTAGTATATTTACTACATTTTCTCTAAAAGCAGAAAATGCGTTTCTTTAAAAAAAAAACACATTAATTAACACCTGGAAAATAAAGGCACATATAAAGCATATCAGAAATAATTAAGGGGCACATCACAATACTAAGGACCATAGTAAAAGAGTAATAGCACACACTCAATTATTGAAGGCACTGGGCTTGGAATCTAATGACATTTTTATCTTCTACCCTTATGTGTTCTTTCACTGATCATTAATATCTAATTAAATGAAATAAAGTTTTCCAAGTGCTGAAAATGCTTTTTCAATCATCTTTGAATTTCCGTGATCCAGGCCACTCTCTTTCTCAGCAAAACATGATGTGGATTCCTATACAGGCTCGCTTACAGTCTGAGGACACCCTGCTTATGCCAATTTCAGTCATGAATAAGTTGCATTCTGGCTTTATACCAAAAAAGAAGGTCTTTATGAATTGAATGGAAAAAGAAAAAGTCATATGAGAAGAAACTGACTATAAGAAATGTCCTCAAGAGAGTAAATTTTACAAATTTGAATTGGAAAGACCAACAGAGCTCATTTACCACTTCTGAGCTCCCACTTATTTGAGAATGCCTTCTACTATTTTCCTGATCCATGGGCAATAAGCCTCAGCTTGCAAACTGCTAATGAAATGTTTCATGGTGAACAGCTGGAATTATTAGAAAATTCTTCCTTATAGTCTCCTAAATTCCAGTTTCTTTTAGATTTGCCCTCTGCACTGATTTTAAAGAATTATTCCTCTTCTGGCTGGGCACTGTGGCTCATGCCTGTAATCCCAGCACTTTGGGAGGCAGAGGCGGGTGGATTACCTGAGGTCAGGAGTTCAAGACTAGCTTGGCCAACATGGCGAAACCCATCTCTACTACAAATACAAAAATTAGTCGGTTGGGGGCTGGGTGAGGTGGCTCACACCTGTAATCCCAGCATTTGGGAGGCAGAGGCGGGTGGATCACCTGATGTCAGGAGTTCGAGACCAGCCTGACCAACATGGTGAAACCCCGTCTCTACTAAAAATACAAAAATTAGTGGCTCATGGTGGTGCATGCCTGTAATCCCTGCTCCTCGGGAGGCTGAGGCAGGAGAATCACTGAACCTGGGAGGCAGAGGTTGCAGTGAGCCAAAATTGTGCCATTGCACTCCAGCCTGGTCGACAAGAGTGAAACTCCATCTCAAAAAAATATATATATATTTTTTCTCTTCTATAATGATTTGCTTTGTGGTTAAGAATGCAAGCTTCAGAGCCACAGTGTAGACAGGAAGCACACGTCTGCTGCTGCTTCTCCCTAGCTAGGTGACGTGGAGAAAGTCACTACATCCTTTTTTGAGCCAAAGTGCACCTCTAAAATGTATAAATAATAGGACATGCAGTTGCTATGAAGATTAAAAGCCCTTAGCCCGGTGCCTAGCACAATACAAATAAATGTATGTTAAATAAAGAGTGCCTGTGCAATGACATCCTCTAAGTGATGCATTCTCAGTCCTGTCGGCTATGAACTATCACTTGGCATGATTCAGATCCCTCGCATTAGTCACAGTCCAGCTTGGTGATACCCATTTTAGGAGCCAACACTGCATGAAACAAACTGAACATAGATCAGCATATGGTAGAGCGAACCAGATGGCTACAGACATTCAAGGGCTCTAGGGCAGCTTTAGGCCCTGTAGGAAGTGTTCAGGGTTCCTCGGCTTAGACCATCGTGGAGTAAAGACTGAAAGTCTGGAAGCTACCTCAGCCCTGACCGAGTAGGTGCTGAGCATGGAAATAAAGAAGTCAGACAATAGACAGCAGAATTCATAGTAAAATAGATACCGCTTAACTCTTAACTTCCAGAAGAACCAGGATTGCTGTGAAGGCCAGAGCTACAGCTCTGACAATCTTCGGGGAAAATTTTTTCAGTGACCTTAACCAGGATGCATGAACTGGGGAGATCTGGGGTGCAGAGGAGGGGAACCTATCTTATAGCAGCTAGTCATGTGTTGACTCTTTCATACGCTAGGCACTGAGGAGATTTGCAATTAAAAAAATTTAAAAAGCAGCCGGAGTGGTGGATCTTGCCTGTAATCCCAGCACTTTGGGAGGCCTGGATGACAGAGCGAGACTCTGTCTCAAAACACAAACAAGCAAGCAAGCAAACAAACAAAAAACTTACAAAGTGCAAAACTTTATAATCTATTTCAGGCCATAAAAGTGCCAATAGTAAAAAATGCAATTGAATACTTTCATTTCCTAAGCATAGGGGATTTTTTCTAATTTAATTGATTCTCACTATCCAATAGGATAACCAGTAGCCACATTTGGTAAATTAAGTTTAAATTAATTTAATTAACATTAAAATTGGATTAATTATACTAGGCATATACCAAGCGCTCCGTATTGCTCAGCACAGATGTAGAATATTTCCATCATCACAGAAAGTTCTATCGGGCAGAGCTGCTATGCAGTGATGGTCCCTTTTAGTTACAGCCTTTATTAATAGCCCATCAATAAATGACCAGTGTTGGAATGTGTGCATCAATTATTGCATACTGAGCACCAATTTTAAATAAATGTCCCCCAAAATATGGGGCAAAATGAACTCAAATTAAAGCAAACCTTACAGCTAAACATTCTTTCTCTTTCTCTATCATCCAGTCACCTTACTGATAAACTGTCATGGAGGAAAAGAAACAGGAACAGCAGATGTGTTCTGTCAGTGGATGTGATAAACTTTCAAGAGAAAAAGAACAGATGGAAAATGAACTTCATGATGTCTTTAAGGAGTAGTACTTTTTTTTTTTTTTTTTTTTGAGACAGAGTCTCACTCTGTCACCCAGGCTGGGGTGCAATGGTGCAATTTCAGCTCACTGCAAGCTCCACCTTCCAGGTTCAAGTGATTCTCCTGCCTCAGCCTCCCAAGTAGCTGGGATTACAAGTGTGCACCACCACACCCAGCTTTTATATTTTTAGCAGAGACGGGGTTTCGCCACGTTGGCCAGGCTGGTCTCGAACTCCTGACCTCAAGTGATCCACTCACCATGGCCCCCCAAAAGCCTGGGTTACAGGCATGAGCCACCGTGCCCAGCCAGAAGTAGTACTTTTCTGTTATAAAGTATATTCTAGTGACTTCTGACTGTGAATAATGTTATCTTACACTTATCTCAGAAGGAATAAAAAGAAAACATGTTTTTAAAAATTAGGATCATGAATCATGAATAAAGTTAATTATACATTTTCTGCCAAATAAAATAGAAACCATGCCGTTTGCCTCATACTTTACCATTTCAAACTACTCATAGATTTTTAACATGGATTTTGCTCTTGGAGGCTCATTCTGAAATTCTCAATTTAAAAATATTTTGCAGCAAATTTAAAAGATGATGTTTCAAAGTAAATATAGTGGGATCCATTCTTTAAAACTGCTTTCTTAACTTCACAGAAAATTAGAACTAGAAAGTATCTTAAGGACTATTTGATACACTGTTTTTTAAACTATTTTTAGAGATAAAGCCTTTTGTTCAAACCAAATCTCCTCTGGAATGGGGAGCAAAGATAGAGAGGTAGAGCAACAGCTACACTGTAACTTAGTATAAAAGATACTAAGTAGACTCAGTTGGTCCTGCCTGCTGCCCCTCTACACCCAGGCAAGGCCAGGGATCTAAACCAAAGCAATCATAGGAGCCACAATATGTCACTTCCTGAGAGCAGGCTGACCTGAGGACTGAGGGGAACTTCAGAGATCTATGAAGCAAACTTGATCTGATATGGTAATGCATGCTATAAAAGCCAGACAAAAATGTTAACATAGCTGCACAAAATAGAGACTATCTCAGAAACTAATGTTTAACATTGATAACAGATCCCCTGCCCAATCACTCCTGCAAAGACAGCTTGATACAGGACAAAGAATATGGTCCTTAGAACTAGATGGATTACCATGGATCCTGCCTCAAATACTCCCTTTCTTCACATATTAAACGGGAAATATTTGATAACAAGGTAACTGTGTGTGTATATATATATCATGTGTAAATAATTGTACACATATCAATTATATATGTGTACATATCAATATATACATATATCATTTATATGTGTACATACCTATATATACAATGTGTGTATATAGACAATGTATATATGTACATTTCAATATAAACACAATGTATATAAGTGTGTATATATGTATATATATCAGTATATACATATGTACACACACACACTGATAGATATATATCAATAATGTGCCTAGAACAATAAATACTGGTTTCCTTTCACTTTCTGAACAACTTTGTCATAATATAGAACCCATTTCTTCTAACAATAGGGAGAATTATTTTCCTAGTATGTTTTCATAAAGGGTATACTACCAAGAGATTAATTTGCATATTGCCTAACAAGATGTCTTTCTGTATTGTTTTCTATTATAGCCTTCAATCTTTTCAGGTGGAAAAACACGACCCATGTTGAGAATATAGGAGACAGAATTTAGTACCTTGGAGAGCTGTTAGTACTTTGCTCCTTTTCTCTTGTAATTTATCTGAACATTTAGAACTGCTCAAGGTAACCAAAGAACACAAATCAGACCTACTCACACCAGGAAAGGGAAAACACACATACACATACACACATACACAGGCACACACTCCTTCATAGTCTTTTTTCTGCATTGCTACATCATCAGAACTGATAAACTAAAACCCAGAAAAAATTCAAAGACAAAGACTTTTAATTTTACCCTACTTAGGTACTAGTTTAGGTAGACAACAGTATCACTTAGAATTGTTCTCATATGATCCAATAATGACAAATATAACTAAAATGTAATAACACTTTCATAGTACTGCCATGACTGTATCTATTCACTCTGTAAGAAAAAAACTTCCTATTATTTAAAATTATTAAAACGTTTCTTGTCAGTTTCAAGTCACTTACGTGAGCATATTACAACATACAAGCACATTTCATTTTTCAAACTTTCTCCTCTAGCCTCATGCTCTAGAGGCTGTCAACCTTTACTTTACAGAGTTAAACTTATTCCTGCAGATCAAGACTAAAATGTTTTATTTCCATCTAAGGTAATTACTGCTAAGTTAAAATGTATAAATCCTCCAATGGGATTGGTACTATGTTTAGTCACTCAGAGAATACTGGCTGATGAAAATAGACCACATTCCAAAAGACAGAAAAAGTATGTTTGACTAATAGGAAAATAATAATAACACAATAATGACTTGTATGTTTCAAATAACTTTATAAATGTTTAAAATGCTTATTAACCCATTTTAGACCTATCGGCTTTTCTTTCTTAATATTCACTTTTTTACAAATAAAAAGTAGAAAACTTCATGTCATTTGCTCAAAGTCACATAAGTTAACATTCTGCAGGTTAACAGATTTATTTGCAAATCACACAAACATATTTTTAAAAGAAGGGAATTTAGACGATAACACTAGTTTTTTGAGGAAAAAATAGGCTGGAACTCATCAAATAAAAATGAAAGGGAGTTAGTATATATTTGAGGAAGGATTTCATATTAGGAGTTAGACAGGATTCTGGTTAGGAAAGAATGTCAGGAATCTGCATGTCTTTTTTTTTTTTTCTCCTTTCATTTTAGGACCAAATCCTAGAATAGAGTGAAAAAAGAATGCAACAAACAGCATTATTTATATATCTTTGCACAGTTTTAAAATCAAAAAGCAGTTTTATCGTGTTACTTGTTCCCTCGAGAGATGAGGCATTATTATTTGGAAAATAAATTTTTGATTATCACCTAAAGTGAAAGGGACTTAATAAACAAACATTGGAAAAGCCCAAAGTACTGAAAGCTCAATATAACTGCAAGAGTCTCTCTTCTGACCATTTTTTCTCTTTTTTGCTAATAGTAAAATAGGCATGCAGTTGTGCGACCTCAGCTCACTGCAACCTCCACCTCCTGGATTCAAGTGATTCTCCTGCCTCAGCCTCCTGAGTAGGCTGGGACTATAGGCATGCACCACCACACCTGGCTAATTTTTGTATTTTTGGTAGAGACGGGTTTCATCATGTTGGCCAGACTGGCCTTAAACTCGTGACCTTAACTGTTCTGCCTTTCTTGGCCTCCCAAAATGCTGGGATTACAGGTGTCAGCCACCGTGCCTGACCATAGCTAACATTTTGAGGTTTCTCCCCCATAGTCTTTGAACTAATTGTATTTTACCCAAATCAGAATCTTATTGCATATGTTTTATACCTAGCTCTTTTTCACCTAATATGTTATCATTATCAGTTCTGTACTTCATTAAACACATCAAAGATATATACCCTTTTTAAATGCTGACTTTATTTTTCTGAATTTTAAAAATAATACATGCTAATTTCCAGGGGTAAAACAAATTACAAAAGTATACAAAAATTAAAGGCACTTCCTTCTGTTAACCTTGATTCCATCCTCCCCCTTAAAAAAAATTTTAAGTTTGTTGAATGTCTTTTAATAAAGATGTTTATTTCCAAAACTATGATGAGGCAGTCGCAGACATTTTTGACATGAGCTCAGAGTTGTACGCATATGTTTATGTGGAGTTTTCATATTTAAAAATATTTATGCCTGAAGTGCAAAAAATAATAATTTAAAGAAAATACATAATACATTTTGTTTAATTTGTCTTAAGACTGATGTATTTTATATACATGGGAATCTGGAATCATCTTACAACTGAGAAAAGTTAGCAGTTAACTTCCTCTGAACGTTACATTTTAAACACATTTTAGCTCCCAAAACAATATGTCAGGCCTCAGATACGCACTCTTTCAAAATTCTGCCTATGAGGAAAATACTAAATATGAACATTTCAAAAATAATTCACCTTTAAAGCTCTATTTTGTGATTAGACTGAGTACCTTGAAAGTCATTATTACAACCCTTGCGTGTGTAAAGCATCTTCTCCTCAGCAGCCTCACCTCCTACACGATGATGGTCTGTAAAGTCAGGGCATCCACAAAGTGATTTATTCCCCCTTTTACCTTTAATATGGCGCTATAGACCACATTTTGGCCATTGCAGTGCAGTAGCTCAGGTCTACAATCCCAGTGTTTTGGGAAACCAGAACAGCAGGATCCCTTGAGGCCAGAAGTTAAAGACCAGCCTTTAAACAAAACAAAACAAAACAAAACAAAACAAAAAAATTTCATTAGCCAGGTGTGGGGGTGTGTGCCTGTAGTCCCAGGTACTCAGGAGGCTGAGGCAGGAGGATCACTTGAGCCAAGGAGTTTGAGGCTGCAGTGAGCTATCATTGTACCACTGCACTCCAGCCTGGGTGACTAGTGAGACCTGTCTCTCAAAAAGAAAAAGGAAAAAAAAAATGAGTATATTTTGCCTAAGGTACCCAAACACTAGAAACATATTCCAAAGTGAAATATAGCAGTATAATGCAAGTTTTCCAAAGGAAGGGGGGCAGAAATAGTTACATAATTCTTACAACCATATACTTATGTTGAAGGTATAAAAGAGTTGAAGATTCTTGAAGACAAAGAGAAGGTCTTTGGAGAAAGTTATCAGCATGCTATAGAGGCTGTCTGCTTCTCACCTCAAGCCTGAGACAAGGAGATTCAGAGAACCACCGAGAGAGTTTAAAATGTAACCATCTAACCTTTGAGTTTGGGGAGGCAAAGTAATTCCCTTGGATAGATCTGAGCCATACAAGACAGAAAGCTGTCTTAAGCCCTGTTCAAGGGGTCACTCACAAGAAAAAAAGGTGTCATGCAAAAAGGAACAAGGGGTATACCACTGAATGACTCCTAGGGGCTGTGGCAGCAGTCACAGAGAAGCAGGACACAAGGGCATGTCTGCATGCCAGGGAAGCTTTGAGAAAGAGAAAGAGAGGGAGAGACAGAGAGAGAGAGAGAGAGAGAGAGAAAGAGAGAGAGAGAGAAGAAAACCCCAAAGAAGCACCTGCTAGAAAAAGGGCCAGCTTTGAGCATATGCCAAACCTTGAGGTGTAAACACCAGATCACCAATAGCCCTTGTCAAGTAAGAGTTTTCTTATCTCCTGCACCTCTTTCCCTCTGTGAGCTCTAATCCTGCAGTGGCAAGAAACCTTAGTTAGCAAAATGAGGGAAGAGGAAGGGAGGCACCTAAGTAGGGAGAGTGAGAAACCCAGGACTTCCCTTTCCTAAGGCACAGTCAAGCCATGGGAGGGAGGATATTAACTCTTGGGCAAGATTGAAATTTTGAAAGTTACATACATGTAAGCGTTGTAAATTACTATGATCACTTTTCTCCTTAGAAGTGATCAAAGAATGGTTTGGTTTTAATAAATGACTGGAAAAGTCACAGGAGCTGCACAAATTTTCATTTGTAAAATGATCGTTTATCAACTGCTCTCTTGTCTTCTTATTCCTTCCTGCCCTTGGTTTTTGGACACAGGTTCTTTTTTCTCCTCTTTATGCCATAGTTTAATAATATCATCACCAACCATCAACACTTATTGAGGATTTACTCTAGGCCAGACAATCGATTATGTATTTTATATACATTTCTCATTTCATGCACATACAACTGTTATTATCACCTCCATTTTTTATATCAAGAAAATGAGGCTCTTCCAAGGTAGCATAATTACTAAGCATAGGAGCTGAGAAATTTACCTTGGGGACTCTGACTCCAGAGTCCCACTTTTTTTCCCTGAAAGAATGAATGAAATGTATTTTCTCAGTTCAAAGGACACAAAGTATCAAATTTGCCTTTTTTTTTAAACAAACTCTGTCTTCCAGACCGGAGTGCAGTGGCATGATCATAGCTTACTGCTCACTGCAGCCTAGTCCTCCAGGGCTTAAGTGATCCTCCCACCTCAGCCTCCTGAGTGACTGGTACTACAGGCATGCAACACCATGCCCAGCTAATTTTTAAAAATTTTTCATAGAGATAGGTTTTTGCTATGTTGCCCAGGCTGGTCTTGAATTCCTGAGCTCAGGTGATCCTCCCACTTCAGCATCTTGAAGTGCTAAAATTATAGGCATGAGCCACCAGACTTGCTTTCTTTAATAAAACAGAGCTCTCAAAAAAATGGATCTCCCCCATCTCATGAGAAAATTGAAACATTCCACTGAAGGAGAATTAACAGAAAAGTAAACATAGCTACTTTTTGTAATCAGAAAACTTGCTGATGTATACTCTTATTCCAAACCCCTGGATGATGTCATTATGTCAACAGTCCTTTAGGATTCCTCAACCCAGACATAAAATAACAGTCAGAGCACTAGCATATCCAAAAATGGTATTGCTTTATTTTTTAAAAATATATTTCTTTTTTGAAATATCAATCGAATCAATTTTATTCTCACAACAATCCTGAGTAAATATTTTTAAAAAATATATTTTTTGAGGAAACAGATTAAAAGCTTTAAAAAATGTGATTCACTGAAAATCAAATAGTGAATACATGATAGAGTCAGCACTAAAAAGGCAGATATATCAAAGAGAGACTGAAATAAGCAACTCATTTTTTGCATCGACTTCGAAACACCTCTTTACCATCAGTGTTTGTAATAATCATTCTTGATCTTTATACTTCACATTTCTTGGTAATCCAAATGCTTCATAAATTCTCTTACACATCCTGAATCTCTTGCTTCATTCAGCGAGATAATTCCTGGTGAGCAGGAATGCATATGGTTTTCAGATGTAGAAACTGGGATCTCCAGAGACAAACAAGTTGGCCATGGCAATGGGATACAATAATCTTATAGGATTTTACAAACCTGATTTGAAGTTTTGTCCTAATATGGAAAGGTATGCCTTTTCTCACTAGAGAGATTATTCTAGAATTTTAGAGCCATACCAACATATTTCACGGTAACCTAGTGATCTGGATTGCCCCTCTCTGAGAAAGCAAAGATTCTGCAAGCAATTAGTCCTTCAAATCAAATTCCTGGCTTTTACAAACTGCTTCTCTTTTGAATTCCAAAAGTTAACTAATTCTTTTCTATCTATTCTTCATTTCCTCATAAGCGAACACTCACCAGTTTCCCCATTTTCCAACCCTATGGTTTTCTTATTCTACGTGGCCACAGACAGGAACAATTCACTAGCACAGTGGTTCTCAGAATCACCTGGTAAGTCTTGTAAAAACACAAATTGCTGGGCCCCACGTACTCCCAGAGTTTCACATTCAGTTGGTCTAAAGTGGGGCCTAACAGTTGGAATTTCTAACAAATTATCCGGTGATGCTGATGCTACAGGTCTGAGTAGCACATTTGGAAAATCACTTCACTAGTACACCCCCGACGTGTTGTCCTGATGGATCCTTCCAAAAAATTGTTCAGATGCCAAGGCTTGTGAATCGCACACATGGTACTCAATGCCTGGGCCTCACATCGAAGGCTTCTATATTGAGAAGAAAAGAAATATTTGTCATGACTCATTGCCTTTTTCAAGCTGTTCCAGCTACAAAATTAAAACCAGAAAAGGACTCAATTGAAAGCAAAATAAAAACAGCTCAAGTAACACTGTCCAAATTTTGAGACTTATGGCATGATTTCTGGAATTAGGACAAAAGGTATACTAGTGATTCAGGTAAATCCTTGGCTGACCACACTGGAAGCTGGCATCTCCAAGGCTCCCGACAAACCCTGGAACCCAAGCCAAGTTGCTCCTGCACTACCCCAGAAGCCAGCTCAGGTCCTTGGCTTGTGGCTTGCTTTTTCTGTCAACAGTAAGTTCTTCCATAAAGCTCTCCAAACACATTAGCAACCTATAACTCTTTTAATTAACTAATTTTTCTACAACTTCTCAGCTATTTTTAACACAGAAAAAAATGTCAATTGTCAAGAAATAAATGCTGTTGGGCCATCAAGCAGGTAGGCTGTAAATCTGAACCGAGAACCTAGCCAATGAATTTCCTTAGGATTTCTTCCTTTTGTAATAGCAACACTCAGTGGAGATTTTAATTCCATTTTTCATATATTTGGGGAAAAAATACGGCATTTTATGTCATAGCATAAAATTCTTCAGCATTCCATTTTAGTTATTAAATAATGACTAGTATTTGAAACAGCACTGTTACATTAAGTAAAAAAAAATTGGCAAGAAATGTCAACTTAGACATTTAATAAGATAATAGTTCTGCTTAGAAAATGAGGTGTTAGTTCTGCCTTTAACGTATCAACATATTGTAGGAAATACTGACCTTTTATTCTGATCACCACGAGTCCATTAAATTTCAAAATGTGGGACAGCCAATACATAATATACTACTAAGTAATAAATCTATGTCATCCAAAGGGAGCTTTGCTGTCTGAGTCCAAAAAAAAAGAAAACAGAAGCATAATGGTAAGGTTACTGAACACTCAGGTCTTGAAATAAGTCATTCTGTTATGAGCATGAGTCACCAAAACTACTTCCTTAGTGATAAAAGTTGCCTAAGTAACATCAATGCCTCCCTATGCTAAGAAGGATATGGGCAGTGTGTTGGGTTTCAGACCCACTAGTCATAGTCATTTCCTTTACTTAATTGCTAACTGCCCTTCCTGGCTGTAGTTTGGGGCCTGTGTTTTAGGTAGTAACCCAGCAACTAGTTATTATGCTATATTTTATCAAGGAGAACAAAACAGTAAATTTTGTATTTCCATGGATTTCAGAGTAAAAGTCAATGTTATTTCACCAAGGCCCTCTGACTTAAGGGAGTTATTGTGAAACTGTTCAACTAGGTCTCAATGTGGCCACATCATTATGCAAGACTCAAAGGCAAAATATTTAACAGAGAAAAGAGGAGCAGATTGGGAGCCCTCTGAGAGGAAGGGAGGGGTGGTATTCATTTCTGCGTCCTTAGCACCTAGCAGGGAGCCTGCTCACCTAAAGATTCAAAACGCAGGCCGCGCAGGCGCAGTGGCTGATGCCTGTAATCCCAGCACTTTGGGTAGGCCAAGGAGGGGTCACTTGAGCTCGGGAGCTTGCGACTAGCCTGACAACACGGCAAAACCCTGTCTCTACAAAATATATTTTAAGAAAATTATCTGGGCATGGTGGCATGTGCCTGTAGTCCCAGCTGCTCAAGAGGCTGAGGTAAGAGGATTGCCTGAGCCCAGGAGGTCGAGGCTACAGTGAGCTGTGATGGAGTCACTGTATTCTAGCCTGGGTGGTATTGCAAGCTCCTGTCTCAGAAAAAAAAAAAAGACTCAAAATACATCCACCAAATGGGGTTTGCTGCTTCTTTTCAAAATAATCCAATCTATGAAGTAATTGCGCCACTGCTGAGTTAGGATTTCATCAGGCTTTGCTGTTATTGATGTTGTTGTTGCTGTTGAGATGGAGTTTTGCTCTTGTTGCCCAGGCTGGAGTGCAGTGGTGTGACCTCAGCTCACTGCAACCTCCACCTTCTGGTTTCAAGTGACTCTCCTGCCTCAGCCTCCCGAGTAACTGGGATTACAGGTGCCTGCCACCACGCCCTGCTAATTTTTGTATTTTTAGTAGAGACGGGGTTTCACCATGTTGGCCAGGCTGGTCTCGAACACCTGACCTCATGATCCTCTCACCTCGGCCTCCCAAAGTGCTGCGATTACAGGCATGAGCCATTCATCAGACTTGTTAACACATATATGCCTTTGTTTTTCCCTTATATTTACCATGGGACTGTGGTATTTGCTGCTGTTCCCCTTGCAGACATCTGAAGTATATTAAGCATGCTCTATTTTAAAATCTGACATACAAAAGCAATGAGATTAGTATTGCATGAGAAAATTTAAAAACTGGATAGTAAGCACACATGTATTATCAGTATCGCTGTTGGGTTTGGCCTTGAGAATCTTGGTTGCCTATAATTCCCTGAGCCTCCTCTCATTTCCAAAAACTCCCCCATAATTCTTGGATTGCACAATAGTACTACCATGAAGGACTAAAATGTTAATAAATCTCCCTAAAAATCAAACTAATAGATGGTAAGTATAGGGAGAAGTTGTTTTTAACTGATATAAGTATTGCATTCCAAAAATGTGGTTTTATTTCTTTTCTACTAGCAAATGGGGCAAAGCATTTTTATTCACTTAATCATATGCAAGATTCAAATGCCATAATTATCCATTCATTCTGGTGGGTTGAGTCAGAATTAAGAAATGAGATCTCCACAGAAAACCCCTAAAACTGTCTATGGACTTCTTGATGATTCATTAAGGGCACCATATTCTCTGAATCAAAATGGGTCCTGTTGCTGCATCAGAATAGGAAAAAAGTAGACCAAAGAGACAAACATCATGATAACAATGCCAAAGAGATTTGGGGACATCTCCAATGGTAGCACAAAATTACTATGGCATATAAAGTACTACAGCACGGTGAGGTTTAGAGTTCGGGGACTGGAGCCAGAAGTCCTGTGTTCAGGTCTGCCACTTCTTGGCTAGATAAACTTGAGTAAGCTACTTACCTTCTCTGTGCCTCAGTTTCTTCATATGTCAAACCGGGCTGTCGTGAGGATTAAATAAGTTAACCCATGGGCAGTACATAATGATTGCTTTCATATGTCATAGGCACTCAATATATGAAAGCAATCATTACGGTTATCATTAGCCTTTCTATCCAGGTCAGACTCCAGTTTTAGCAATCATATCAAAGTGTGCCTGGTGATGATTGTTTGGGGTTCGCTCAAGGACCTAGTATTGGTCAAGGACTGTGAAAGCTAGCCTAGAGTTAGCAAAGGAAAAACCCTGGCCTGGTGTGGTGGCTCACGCCCGTAATTACAAAACTTTGGGAGGCTGAGGTGGGTGGATCACTGGAGGTTAGGAGTTCGAGACCAGCCTGGCCAACATGGTGAAACCTCATCTCTACTAAAAATACAACATTAGCCGGGCGTAGTGGTGGGCACTTGTAATCCCAGCTATTTGGGAGGCTGAGGCAGGAGAATCGCCTGAACTTGGGAGGCAGAGGTTGGAGCTGAGATAGTGCCACTGCACTCCAGCCTGGGCAACAGAGTGAGACTCTGTCTTAAAAAAAGAAAAAGAAAAACCCTGATCAAACACATAAATATCTCTGCAGCGTATTCTATCACACCTGTCTGAAGTTCTAGAGATGCCATTCAAGTAAATTACAATATTGTATCGGAAAAACTTCTCATAATTTATGTCTCAAACAACATGTACTTAATCTATATTAAGCTTGAGTACCACAGAATTTTTTTGTCCATATGCCACATATCCATATGAGTCACATTAGAGAACATATTTCTAGTACTTAGCTAATTAGAAATACAAAACCTTATTCAGTGGTTTGGAAATCGTCATGGTAGAATTACAAAGAGGGCTGCCAAATCCTTTATTCTGCTAGTTAACTCTGAATGGTCTTTCTTTACTTATATCTCATTGTAATGTTAATGAATTTTCTTATCTTTTCATCCTTGCATATTGTCATTATGTCATTTTATATTTCCTTCCATTTGCTACATGGCTTCATTTAGGGTTACTTTGTGTTATTTTTTTTCTAGAATTTGTCTTTGATTTTCATTTCCAACCTCTGCAAATCACACTGATCTTTGTCACTATACACAAAAACCAAAGCTTGAGAGGTTTATTTTAAACTCTGAGTTTATCAAACATATTCACAATTAAATATAATATTTAATATACTGAAGAAAATCATTTCACTGGCTGAGTGAATGTGATATGCCAGAGTTAAAGTATCTCCCAATTGTCCATTTTTGAAAATATCAGTCAATTCATTAATCAGTTTTGAAATACATAAGATGGAGTTCCATTATATTTTGCAGATTTAGAGGAAAGAGATTATGACTATATAGATGGTCAATAATCCCCTTCCAATGTCGCAGGTTACCATAAAGGCAAATAAAAATTTACATTATAAATTTATCTGTTCTTTAAAAGAAAATTAATAAACTGATATGCACATCAATAGGAGACTGGCTAAGGAAAATGTGGTACATATACACCATGGAATACAATGCAACCATGAAAAAGAACATCAGCCAGGCACGGTGGCTCACGCCTGTAATCCCAGCACTTTGGGAGGCCAAGGTGGGCAGATCACCTGAGGTCAGGAGTTCGAGACCAGCCTGGCCAATATGATGAAACCCCGTCTCTACTAAAACACAAAAATTAGCCAGGCATGGTGGCATGCACCTCTAATCCCAGCTACTTGGGAGGCTGAGGCAGGAGAATTGCTTGAACCTGGGAGGCAGAGGTTGCAGTCAGCCAAGATCGTGCCACTGTACTCCAACCTGGGAGACAGTGAGACTCTGTCTCAAAAAAAAAAAAAAAAAAAGAGATCATGTCCTTTGCAGGAACATGGATGCAGCTGGAGACCATCATCCTTAGCAAACTAATGCAGGAACAGAAAAGCAAATACTGCATGTTGTCACTTATAAGTGGGAGGTAAGATGAGAACACATGGACACAAAGAGGGGAACAATAGACACTGGGGCCTACTTGAGGGTGGAGGGTGGGAGGAGGGAGAAGATAAGAAAAAATAACTATTGGATACTAAGCTTAATACCTGAGTGATGAAATCAGCCATACAACAAACCCACATGACACGAATTTACCTACATAACAAACCTGCACATGTACCCTTGAACCTAAAATAAAAGTTAAAAAAGAAAATTGTGCTATTAAACAAAATTATTATTAGGTCCCTTACCTAAATATCTTGAGAAAAAAAATTCTACCACTGGGGAACTACATGACCTCCTCAAAGTAGGCAGAGTAAATTCCCAAGACGCCAATTGCACTTGGCAAATTTTCTAGCTGTGGCATAATCTTTTTCTGTCTACAAAAAAAAAAAAAAAAAAAAAAAAAAAAGGAAAAACAACATTATAGGCCACTGGGCAAATACCTGCTAGTTTTCTTATGGTAGTCTAACTCAGCCAGTAACTAAACTGGGATGATGTCATTCAGGGCTCTTTCAAGTGACATGAGGTTTTTATAACTGGATTGATGGGTTTTTTGTTTGTTTTTGGTTGTTACTGTTTTTTGATCAAGTGAACTAATACTGAAAATCTGGCTTTAATTCTTTGTCCAACATCAGCTGGAACTTATTTTTGCACTAGATTTCTCCTCCATTTGTTAATTAAACTCTTGTGTTCCCCCTACATACTTACCACCTTCTCTTTCCTCTGTCATAGACTGTGAATTAGACATTGATGAAGTTAAAAAATCACTTATAGTCTACAGGGAATTGTTAGCTATGTTTTCCCCCTCAAATGTTCAAAGATACCTCCCAGAAAGTGTCTTTAAGGTTTTTCTTTCCCTTCTGATGTTTTAAACACTGTTTTAGAGAATCGTGATGTTCATGATTTTATACTAGCTATGGGAACAAGACTAACACACTCAAAGCAGCTAAATGACAATAAAAGACCATCTACTTTATTCCTTTAAGGGAAGAGATTAGAAGTGCTTAGAAATGCTGTAGACCCTGGGCTATGGTCTGATAGTGGTCGGTGGGTATTAGATTCTTGTAGGAGCGTGAACCCCACTGTGAACTGTGCATACCAGGGATCCAGGTTGTGCGCTCTTTACGAGAACATAACGCCTGATGATCCGTCATTGTCTCCCATCATCCCCAGATGGGACCATATAGTTGCAGGAAAACCAGCTCAGGGCTCCCACTGATTTTACATTATGGTGAGTTGTATAATTATTTCATTATATATTACAATGTAATAATAATAGAAATGTTTGAATCATCCTGAAACCATCCCCCTGCCTGGTCCATGGAAAAATTGTCTTCCATGGAATCGGTCCCTGGTGCCAAAAAGGCTGGAGACCACTGCTGCATAATGTAAAACCACACTATCCAATTATAGCTCACCTTCATGAGACTATAATTTATATAGACTAGAGAAGGGAAGATATTTCCAGGTTAAGGGACCTGAATTAACCGTCTTTCAACTCAAATTAACTTTCCAACTAATTATTTCTGTCTGGAATGCATCTATTCTTTCTTTTTTCTTCTTTTTTTTTTTTTTTTTTTTTTTGAGATGGAGCCTCATTCTGTCGCCAGGCTGGAGTACAGGGGCACAATCTCGGCTCACTGCAACCTCCGCCTCCTGGGTTCAAGTGATTCTCCTGCTCCAACCTCCCTAGTAGCTGGGACTACAGGCGGGCACCACCAGGCCCAGCTAATTTTTGTATTTTTAGTAGAGACAGGGTTTCACGATGTTAACCAGGATGGTCTCCATCTCTTGAACTCATGATCCACCCGCCTGGGTCTCCCAAAGTGCTGGGATTACAGGCGTGAGCCACTGCGCCCAGCCGCATCTATTCTTTTAATTATCCTGTTCACAAGGCTCAGAGCCCACTCGATTTTTCTTATCCCCTAGCCCTTAAACATCACAATTCCTTAAATCATCTCCGCGTCAGGCTCCCTTTACCATCCACTTGATCTACCTCAAGCAGACCTCAAATCAGCCTCATTCTCCACCCCTAAAATACAGCTACAAGCATGTCTTTCTCCTAGTTGAAATTCACAATGCATTCCCTCTGCCCACCACATTAATTATCAACTCCTTTTCCTGGCATTTACTCATCCAACGCATGGCCCCACGTTAACTTTCAGTTCCCTTTCTCCCCTACAAATACTCCATAATCCAGCAACCCTGGGATTATTCCTGTTCCCTAAATGTCCTCAGCACTCTGCCACCCACCCAGTTTTTGCTTATACTGTTTGGTCAGCACTAGAGCAACCTTTCTTTGCCATGATAAGCTGTAGAAATTGTACTTATTCTTCAAATACTATCTTTTCTAATGACATTTTCTGTTCTCCCCCAAGTAGATAGGATCATTTTTTTTCTCAACAAAATTTAACTTATTTTTAGGTATAGTATTATAGTTTTTTTTTTTAATTTAGATTTAGGGGGTACATGTGCAAGTTTGTTACATAGGTATGTTGTGTGATACTGAGGTTTGGGCTTCTAATGATATCGTTGCCCAAATAGTGACCATAGTACTCGATAGGTGGTCTTTCAATCCTTGCCTCCTCCCTCCCTTCCCACTTTGGGAATCCCTAGTGTTTACTGTTTCCATCTTTGTGTCTGTGTATACTCAATGTTTAGCTCCCACTTAGAAGTGAGAACATGCAGTATTTCGTTTTCTGTTTCTGCATTAATTTGCTTAGGTTTATGGTTTCTACTTGTATCCGTGTTGCTACAAAGGACATGATTTCATTCTTTTTAATGCTTATGTAATATTCTACAGTGTATATGTACCATGTTTTCTTTATCCAATCCACTGTTAATGGGCACCTGAGTTGATTCCATGTCTTTGTTATTGTGAATAGCGCTGCAATGATTATTTCTCCACCTATGCTCTTTAGCATTTTATCCTATCTGTGCTACAGCACTCACTTACCACATTCTGCTATGTATTCCAACTCTTTACCTGCTTTCTAATCCTTATACAAAGCTATGAGATCCCTAGAGGCACAAAAAGCACCTTACTTACTGAAATATACTAAGAAACATTGCAGGCAGTGCAAAAAAATATGAATACATCTATCTGTTAAATGGAATATGAGGAAAGACCTGAGGGTGGGGGAAATGTACTATATTCATGGAAGAAGAAGGAGCTTAGGGTTCTACTGAAATTGCTGCTTGTGGGGAACAGTGGAAAATGAGGATAGATATATATACTTGACATAACTTCCAAAGGCCACTAGTTAACTATGATCCTCAACCTCCTCTGCAGGAAAATTTCTGTTTCCCTCATAGTCTTTATCACCAGTTGCAATCATTTTGTTTGTTCCTTTACGAGTATTGTCTCTCTGTATCATATACATATACGCAGACTCAACACTATGTTCCAAGAGGCTTTGGGCCATACCTGCTTTGGTCCCTTCCCCAGTGTCTACCAGACTGCCCGGCACATGGCAAATACTCAATAAGTATGTTTGGAGTAAAAGAATAAAAGTTGTGTATCACGATACCTTGTGAAGATTAAATGCAGTCATGTCTAAAGTGACTAGCACAATGCTTAAACATAATAAGCACCAGTAAATATTAGCCCCACACCTATATTTCTTCCTTCTATGAACTACTCATGTATTAATGTATATATTCGACAGATGTGCCTGGCTTTTCTCTAGCCACTGGAAATACAATAGTCAACAAAAGAGAGAAAAATTCCTACCTGCCCTTAGGGAGATTACATTCCAGTGAGGAAATGAGCAATTCCTGCCAAGAAGTTTAAAGAAGGAAGTTTTTGGCCAAATGTGGAGGCTCACACATTTAATCCCAACATTTTGGGAGGCCAGTGCTGGAGGATTGCTTGAGCCCAGGAGTTCAAGACCAGCTTGGGCAACATAGCAAGACCCTGGCTCTACAAAAAATAAAAAGTTAGCTGGGCATGGATGGCACTCCCAGCTTCTAGGGAGGCTGAGGCAGTAGGAATACTTGAGCTCAAGAGTTAAGAGGCTGCAGTGAGCTATGACTGCGCCACCGCACTCCAGCCTAGGCAACAGAGCAAGCCTTTGTCTCTCTCTCTCTCTCTCTCTCTCTCTATATATATATATATAAGTTTTAAAGAAAAAGGGGTGATGGCTTGAAGATAGATGCATTGGTGGCAGAAAAGAAAGCATGGAGGGGCCGGGCGCAGCGGCTCACACCTGTAATCCCAGCACTTCGGGAGGCCAAGGCGGGTGGATCACGAGGTCAGGAGATTGAGACCATCCTGGCTAACACGGTGAAACCCCGTCTCTACTAAAAAAATACAAAAACTTAGCCGGGCTTGGTGGCGGGCGCCTTTGGTCCCAGCTACTGGGAAGGCTGAGGCAGGAGAATGGCGTGAACCTGGGAAGCGGAGCTTGCAGTGAGCCGAGATCGCGCCACTGCACTGCAGCCCCGGGGGACAGAGCGAGACCCCGTCTCAAAAAAAAAAAAAAAAAGAAAAGAAAGAAAGCAAGAAAGCATGGAGGAACGGAAGCCAATTGCAGTATTGCAGGAAGGAGGTATGAAATGGCTTGGATCTGAGTGACAGCAACGTAACAGAGGAGTGGATCCAGGAAGAGCGGGGCATGATACCCATTGGATCTGAGATGGAAGAGTTAGTTAGGAAGTGGCAATGATGAAAGTTTCCAATCTTGTTGTTTTGCTGTATTGCCCTGAATAGACAGGGAAGCTGGCAGGGGAAGCGATGGTGGTTCATGGGCTTTAGGGCGTGAGACGAGCTAAACCCAGTCTTGAATGTGATTCCTCCTAAGAGGCAAAATGGAATCTAAATGAAAATTTTTAACTCACTAATGAAAGTAATGTTTTAGAATGCAGGTGAAAACAAATCTCCCTTCTTACATAGTATGATCACTGTTACGTCATTTGATTTTGTTTTTTACATCATTTTACATCGTAAACATGGTGTTATAGCTGTCTGCCAAATTCCTCTAAAAATATGCCCCTTCGCAGCAAGATCTGTGTTAATCATCCCATCTCTTCAGTTCCTGGAACACAGTAGGTCCCTAAATGATAAGTCCAGCACTTAATATTTGTGAATTGAACTGGTTGATAGTAAGCAAAATTTTGTTATCAAGGCAAACAGAAAAGAGAAGTGCATTTAGAGTCAGAAAGGCCTCGATTCAAATTCTTGTCCCCTTCTTCCCACCCCTGCTAGTCATACAACCACAAGAAAATTGCTAGCCTGCATCTTAGGCTCCTCATTAGTGAAATGGATGATCAAGTCTATCTTGCAGGAGGGTGTGAGTGCATCAAGTTAAATTAAATATATACACAGTGTCTGTCATTCAGTTGGCATCGACATTACCTATTATACTATTTATTATTATTACCTGTATTTCCATGGATTTTAGGTTTTGCTATGGTTTTCATGCTCTCAGTGTACCCTCCTTCTTCTTTCTAACATTCCATCCAAACAGTCCTGCTAGATGCTGTTCTCTTGGCATGGCTAGCCAGCTTTCCCAAAGCCTCCATAGGCCACTAAGCTTCTGTCCACACGGCTGGCTGGTCCGTCAGTTTAAGTCACCCAATTCAACTGACATCATGACAGCTTGCAAATTCCAAAATCACTGTTGGTAATTTAGATGTGGTAGTGTTTATGCCTGGCCTATGAATTATACCACCACGTCTTTATTTATATGCAACTTGCATCATGCTGTGTTGAAAGCAGCTTCCCAGTCCAGCACTTGAAAATACTTCTCAGATAGGTTTTCATAGCAATTAAAAAATAAACACAAAACCCGGGAAAGCTATGTCTGTGTACCCAAAAGATACCTAAGAACACAGTAGCATAGAGAGCAGGCTGAGTTGTCTCACTCAAGGATGTGAGTTCAGATTCATTGATCTCCCTGACTGAAAACTATCACCCATTGATTGAGGCACTGTATATCTTATCTCAGAATGAAATGAATTCTTAAGTCTCATGAATTCTACATGAATGAATGAAAGTGTTTCTGCAACTTTCACTTCTCTTGCAGCCCACCAAAAACAATGGCATTTTCTAATAGGAAAAACACATTGAACGCTGTATATGTGCGTATGTATATGTGTGTGTAGTACATACATATACTTTATTTTGAGACAGGTTCTCACTCTGTTGCACAGGGTGGAGTGCAGTGGTGTGCACAGCCTACTGCAGCCTCAATTTCCCAGGCTCAAGCAATCCCCCTGCCTTAGTCTCCCAAGTAGCTGGGACCACAGGTGTGCACCATCACGCCTGGCTTTTTTTGGTTTCATATATATATGTTGCCTAAGCTGGTCTCAAACTCCTGATCTCAAGCAATCCTCCTGCTTTGGCCTCCCAAAGTGCTGGGACTACAGAACACCTACACTTTTATACATTCTATATGCATCAAACAAACATATGTCTGTGACAAGAGAGCAGCCTATCACAGCCCAGAGACTTCAGAATGGGGACAGGTTGGAAGGAGGAGCTACCTATCCCTGAGATGATGAAGAGGACCAGTGCCCATTCCAGGAGACATCACCGCAGCCCTGAGGAATCGGCTATGGGCACCAGCAGGGCACAGTGCCACACCTCGCCAATGCCTTGTCCTCCTTTTCCATAGTGAGTCAGTCAGCAAGCGTCGCATTGCCCTGGGATCGGCACTGCACGTAGAAGTGAGTTCCACACTCTCTTCCTCCCATAGGGAGATCACTTTTCTCATTCTAAGGGTTCCAGGCACACTCACAATGGTGGCATTTGCTGAGCAGTGGCTTGAATAAAGGGCTCTCAGAAAGCAAGATGTAACTCAGAGCATAGGCTTGTCCTCCAGGGCACCCAGCCCCAGGAATGCTCTTGGGGAATGACCTGCAGCCTCCCAGTGAAAGAGAGAATAAAAGAAAGCCCCAGCAGGCGAGCTGGGCAGTAGAGAGTCCTGTAATTCCACCTTGGCAAGCACCATTTGCAAGAACGAACTGGGATAAGGTAAACAAAATATTGCCTAAAAGAGGCTTGTCCAAAGAAGTCAGAATACGCTCTTCATTTACCTCTAAATTATGTTTCTTAAATACCAAGTAACCTGCAGTACCCCCTGCCGCCACCAAAAAAAAAGAGAGAAATACTTTTTTTTCTCCTATCCACTGCAGAATCAATTTTACAGTGGTTCTGCAGTTAATCCTTTCAGTACACCATAAATCTAAATACTCAAAAAAACCTGTGCCTTTTCAATTGCTACTAAATCACGAGAAGACTGATTTACATAGTCTCCTTTTATCTCCCTTGGCGGGTAAGTACTCAGCTCTGCTCGTTACTAATATTGAAACAACAGCCCTTGAATTGAGTGATTTCCCTAGAAAGGTTAAGGTGACCGAATCTGAACACTCCCTCCATGTCTTGGACACGAAGTTTTTTGCTGCGTAGACAGTTTTATCCCCCTCACCCCAAGGTCAATTGCACGAATTCTTTTGGAAAACAGGACCTATGGCATTTCCCAGACAAATCACCGTGAACCCTGTACTGTGCATTGCTGTCCTAAAATTAACACATAAATCTATTGCCGCCAAAGATTCTGTCATTTGTGTTACATAATTGCCTTTCATTTGAACTCATTAATCAAATTGGGGTTTTTAAGCAACACCTAATTAATTCTTTAACTGGCTCATATTATACCTTTAATGACTTCCACCAGGGTAAAAACCACTGATCACTGAGTTCTATTTTGAAACTACGGACGTCGAGTTTCCTCTTTCACCCAGAATTTTCAGATCTTGTTTAAAAAGTTGGGTGTGGTTTCATGGGGGGAGGGGGAAGAGCGAGAGGAGACCAGAGGGACGGGGGCGGGGACTCTGCAAGAAAAACCTTCCCGGTGCAATCGTGATCTGGGAGGCCCACGTATGGCGCCTCTCCAAAGGCTGCAGAAGTTTCTTGCTAACAAAAAGTCCGCACATTCGAGCAAAGACAGGCTTTAGCGAGTTATTAAAAACTTAGGGGCGCTCTTGTCCCCCACAGGGCCCGACCGCACACAGCAAGGCGATGGCCCAGCTGTAAGTTGGTAGCACTGAGAACTAGCAGCGCGCGCGGAGCCCGCTGAGACTTGAATCAATCTGGTCTAACGGTTTCCCCTAAACCGCTAGGAGCCCTCAATCGGCGGGACAGCAGGGCGCGGTGAGTCACCGCCGGTGACTAAGCGACCCCACCCCTCTCCCTCGGGCTTTCCTCTGCCACCGCCGTCTCGCAACTCCCGCCGTCCGAAGCTGGACTGAGCCCGTTAGGTCCCTCGACAGAACCTCCCCTCCCCCCAACATCTCTCCGCCAAGGCAAGTCGATGGACAGAGGCGCGGGCCGGAGCAGCCCCCCTTTCCAAGCGGGCGGCGCGCGAGGCTGCGGCGAGGCCTGAGCCCTGCGTTCCTGCGCTGTGCGCGCCCCCACCCCGCGTTCCAATCTCAGGCGCTCTTTGTTTCTTTCTCCGCGACTTCAGATCTGAGGGATTCCTTACTCTTTCCTCTTCCCGCTCCTTTGCCCGCGGGTCTCCCCGCCTGACCGCAGCCCCGAGACCGCCGCGCACCTCCTCCCACGCCCCTTTGGCGTGGTGCCACCGGACCCCTCTGGTTCAGTCCCAGGCGGACCCCCCCCTCACCGCGCGACCCCGCCTTTTTCAGCACCCCAGGGTGAGCCCAGCTCAGACTATCATCCGGAAAGCCCCCAAAAGTCCCAGCCCAGCGCTGAAGTAACGGGACCATGCCCAGTCCCAGGCCCCGGAGCAGGAAGGCTCGAGGGCGCCCCCACCCCACCCGCCCACCCTCCCCGCTTCTCGCTAGGTCCCTATTGGCTGGCGCGCTCCGCGGCTGGGATGGCAGTGGGAGGGGACCCTCTTTCCTAACGGGGTTATAAAAACAGCGCCCTCGGCGGGGTCCAGTCCTCTGCCACTCTCGCTCCGAGGTCCCCGCGCCAGAGACGCAGCCGCGCTCCCACCACCCACACCCACCGCGCCCTCGTTCGCCTCTTCTCCGGGAGCCAGTCCGCGCCACCGCCGCCGCCCAGGCCATCGCCACCCTCCGCAGCCATGTCCACCAGGTCCGTGTCCTCGTCCTCCTACCGCAGGATGTTCGGCGGCCCGGGCACCGCGAGCCGGCCGAGCTCCAGCCGGAGCTACGTGACTACGTCCACCCGCACCTACAGCCTGGGCAGCGCGCTGCGCCCCAGCACCAGCCGCAGCCTCTACGCCTCGTCCCCGGGCGGCGTGTATGCCACGCGCTCCTCTGCCGTGCGCCTGCGGAGCAGCGTGCCCGGGGTGCGGCTCCTGCAGGACTCGGTGGACTTCTCGCTGGCCGACGCCATCAACACCGAGTTCAAGAACACCCGCACCAACGAGAAGGTGGAGCTGCAGGAGCTGAATGACCGCTTCGCCAACTACATCGACAAGGTGCGCTTCCTGGAGCAGCAGAATAAGATCCTGCTGGCCGAGCTCGAGCAGCTCAAGGGCCAAGGCAAGTCGCGCCTGGGGGACCTCTACGAGGAGGAGATGCGGGAGCTGCGCCGGCAGGTGGACCAGCTAACCAACGACAAAGCCCGCGTCGAGGTGGAGCGCGACAACCTGGCCGAGGACATCATGCGCCTCCGGGAGAAGTAAGGCTGCGCCCATGCAAGTAGCTGGGCCTCGGGAGGGGGCTGGAGGGAGAGGGGAACGCCCCCCCGGCCCCCGCGAGAGCTGCCACGCCCTTGGGGATGTGGCCGGGGGGAGGCCTGCCAGGGAGACAGCGGAGAGCGGGGCTGTGGCTGTGGTGGCGCAGCCCCGCCCAGAACCCAGACCTTGCAGTTCGCATTTCCTCCTCTGTCCCCACACATTGCCCAAGGACGCTCCGTTTCAAGTTACAGATTTCTTAAAACTACCACTTTGTGTGCAGTTGAAGGCCCTTGGGCACAATGAGAGCCAGTCCTCCAAACTTTCAGAAAGTTTCCTGCCCCTTCTGGCAGGCTGCCAATCACCGGGCGGGAGAAGGAAGGAGGGGAAGGCGGTGGAGGGAGCGAGACAAAGGGATGGTCCCTCGGGGGCGGGGATGGCGGGGCTGTCCTGTAGGTCTGTGCGGCCACCGTGATTGCCCCTCTGCGCGGTGCCCGAAGTCCCGCTGAAACCTGCCGAGGGCAGCAGGTCTGAAAGCTGCAGGCGCTAGTTGCGCGGAGGTGGCGCAGCTGCTCTGGAGGCGCAGAGCGAATACGTGGTGTTTGGGTGTGGCCGCCCCGCCCCTGGCGGTTTCCTCGTTCCCCTTTGGTTAATGCGCAACTGTTTCAGATTGCAGGAGGAGATGCTTCAGAGAGAGGAAGCCGAAAACACCCTGCAATCTTTCAGACAGGTTTGTAGACTCTCTTCCCACTCGCAGCCGCCTGACCCCACCCAACACAACCCACGAGCAATTCTAAAAGTTGCTTAACTCACGTCTAAAAAGTGCAAAACTTCAGGGCTGCGCGTAAAGCCCTCTAGTGGCGGGAAGACCACAGGTTGGAGCTTCTCATGATTAGAAAAATATTAATAAAACCCCTTGAGCGATTTTTTTTTTTTTTTTGAGACGGAGTCTTACTCTGTCGCCCAGGCTGGAGTGCAGTGGCGAGATCTTGGCTCACTGCATCCTCCGCCTCCCGGGTTCAAGCGATCCTTGAATGATTTCTAAGCAGTTCCTTGGGACATAAAGAAAAATCTTTTAACTTTTTACTTTGTTTCCCAAATGTTGCACAGTTTTGCAACACATTGACCTTCTGGTTTCGAACGGTTACAATTTTAGATTGTGGTTTGCCAAAGTCAAGTTGCTTAATTTTTACAAGGCCACAAAAAGCGCAATTATGCCCTGCAGTTTAAAATGGAAAACGTGTTGGAAGATAAGAAAACTTAGTTTCCAACTGGAATGGAGCCAGCAAGTTTCTTTTCTTCTTTGCAAATTCTATTGTGTCATTAAAGTTCGATGGAAGTATCACTATGCACAACTATTTTGTGATCTAATAAGGGTGAAAAGGAGCCATCTGTCCCCTTGGCTAAGGGGTATTAATGGTTTCTATGGGCTTCACTATGGAATGTAGATACAGACATTCTGGCAAATGTGGTGGCTCTGGACAGAAATAATAGGAGTCTTTGTATTCCCAGGGAAGCTTTGCAACAGGCTACATTCTTACTGAATATGTAATGATGTAAGCACGGTTCTAATTGGACACAAGTATTTGCTAACATCCGTTATCTAATATCTGGCCCAGACTTGAGAAGTAGGTAATGTAAAAAGTTTTTAAAGCTACAAGCATACCTCACATTTTAAAAGTCCTTTCTTGATTGGGTTCTTGTGTTCTTTAGCACTCTTGCCATAAAAAATAATAACAGTAATAAACCCAAGGCTGAAAAACTGAATTTTAACTAAAGGGTTTTTGTGCGTGTTTTTTTTTTTTTTCACCAAAATTAGATGGACTTACAGAATTTTTAACTTAAAATTGGAATCCAAAAGCCAGAAGATCCCCATTATAGTTTATAGTTGTATTCCCTGGAATATTTACTGGGATTAACTGCAAAGCACTCTCAGATGAATAGTGTAGTATAACATTTTGAAACTGAAATACATTTACCAAATTAATTTAACCACAGCAATGTGTGTGGTTCATTTTAGTCCTTGAGCATTTTTGATTATCATACCTGTCATGTTTTCTGCAGTGTAGTGAGTTAACATAAAACAACATCAATACAAAAGATCCTCTGTTTCGAGATTAAGCAAAATTCCTCATTCTCTTCAATGTGATAGAATACCACATTGATCTTTCTTTGGAGGTTAGTAAAATATCTTTTATGTATTTTTCAGGGCTTAACAAGTAAAAATCAATGTTTTCATCAAGTCTGATCTTTTTGTCACCCACTCTTCATTCATTTTTCCACTAAGGTGATAGAAAAGTCTCAACAGTTTAAGACCGTAAGGCTATGAACTCCAAATATAATTGCTGACAAGATAAGCAATCCTCACGCATCCTTTTGAGAGGAAATAAAATCTTAGTTGCAAGATTACATATTCTGATTTGGAATGCTGAGCTTTTTAAATGGAAATATAGAAGGACGGCTGAATCAGCAAAAATCCTTTATGTAGTTTCATTCTTTGCAAGCTTGACCAGTCATTCTGAAACAGGCTAACTGAACTGATACAGTGGCAAGTGAAAAAGACATGCCTTTACAGGATGAGTCAAAGGAGTTTTAGAAGAAAAATCCACCAGAGAAAGCCAAGCAAATACAGTTCAGAGTTACATTTCTTTTCCATTTTTTCCTGAACTGAATCTTTGGCATGCATATCCTGAATTGGGTTATTGAATATAAATCTAGCCTTGTACAATGGATGCCAGATGACTACATATTTGCTTTGGAGCCTAAGGATAAGTTTCAAAAGATTTGAGTGGAGAAGAAAAGCTAAAACTCTTGAAGCACAAGTTTCTGTTCTCCATGTACTCAAGTGTACATGAAGTTGTGAAAATTTGTCCACCTCTATCATCATGTTATTCCATGAAATTACAAAACAAATCTTAAAAATGTTGTGGCATAGATTTTCTAGATTTAAAAAGT
Organism: Homo sapiens; assembly: GCF_000001405.40. Lineage (NCBI taxonomy): Eukaryota > Metazoa > Chordata > Mammalia > Primates > Hominidae > Homo > Homo sapiens. The sequence goes on from NC_000010.11 coordinate 17,232,936, forward strand.
AATTAAATTAAATGAATTACTTTATTTTTTGAGACAGAGTGTCACTCTGTTGCCCAGGCTGGAGTGCAGTGGCACTATGTTGGCTCACTGCAACCTCTGCCTCCTGGGTTGAAGAAATTCTCCTGCCTCAACCTCCCAAGTAGCTGGGACTACAGGCATGTGCCACCACACCCAGCTAATTTTTGTATTTTTGGTAGAGACGGGGTTTCGCCATGTTGGCTAGGCTGGTCTCGAACTCCTGACCTCAAGTGATCCACCCGTCTCAGCCTCCCAAAGTGCTGGGATTACAGGCATAAGCCACCATGACCAGCCTTAAAAAGTAATTTTAAAATATCACTGGTAAAATGTGGATTCAGTCATGATTGAGTGCAGTTTACCATGTGTGTGGACATTTATTTATTTTAAAATTGTCTGATCACCACCTTGAGTAAAACACAAGCAGTCACAATTAAAATATATTAGTGAGCAGGAGAAAGCACAGCATATTATAGCACTGAATGATTTATAAACCTATTCCAGGGTCATAAAATGTGTCAACGGCTTTTCTATAGTAAGGAGACTAGGTTCAGATGGTTAATCTAAGACAAATAAATGAGATAAGCCATACACTTTTACATCCTCCATGTCCTGTCTTTTCTCTGTTCAAAATAGGATGTTGACAATGCGTCTCTGGCACGTCTTGACCTTGAACGCAAAGTGGAATCTTTGCAAGAAGAGATTGCCTTTTTGAAGAAACTCCACGAAGAGGTTAGTGGAGTGACTTTCGGGGAATGAATGAGGGTAAGGCAGCCCCCACGGTTGGCAGAGCTGACCGTCTGTCTGTTCTTTTTGCAGGAAATCCAGGAGCTGCAGGCTCAGATTCAGGAACAGCATGTCCAAATCGATGTGGATGTTTCCAAGCCTGACCTCACGGCTGCCCTGCGTGACGTACGTCAGCAATATGAAAGTGTGGCTGCCAAGAACCTGCAGGAGGCAGAAGAATGGTACAAATCCAAGGTAGGAAACAAATCAGTGCGGCTTCAACCAAAGAAAAGCATTGTGTTCTCAAAACCCCATACCTGTGTGTGATTCCTAAATATCCTCTAGCTCCAATGCAAAGCTGGCTTTGACTTCTTGCTCATATTGTGTTTGCCACCACAGCCTCCCCACCACTCACATCACCTCCTTTATTTATTTATTTATTTTCTTATTTATTTATGAGACAGAGTCTTGCTCTACTGCCCAGGCTGGAGTGCAGTGGCAACATCTTGGCACACTGCAACCTCCGCCTCCCAGGTTCAAGTGATTCTCCTGCCTCAGCCCCCTAAGAGCTGGAACCACAGGCAAGCACCACCATGCCCGGCTAATTTTTGTATTTTTAGTAGAGATGGGGTTTCACCATGTTGACCAGGCTTCTCTCAAACTCCTGACCTCAGGTGATCCACCCTCCTCAGCCTCCCAAAATGTTGGGATTACAGGCATGCGCCACCACGCCTGGCCACATCACCTCCTTCAGAATAGCAGACTCTCTTCCCCCTAACCTTGCCTCCAAGTAAACCCCAATGCCATACCTTTGACCTCCACTGTGTTGAAATGAGCACTGTAGAGTGAACTCTGAAAATACTAATGTCAGTACTCCACTGCTCTTTCCCTGGCTTTCAAAACAGAAATTTAAACCTATACTGGAAGACATTCAGTGAGAAATATGATTTTTTTTTTCTAAGAGAGTCAAAAGACTTGAATGTGAGCAATCTACATTTCTGTTTTCTTCCCAACAGTTTGCTGACCTCTCTGAGGCTGCCAACCGGAACAATGACGCCCTGCGCCAGGCAAAGCAGGAGTCCACTGAGTACCGGAGACAGGTGCAGTCCCTCACCTGTGAAGTGGATGCCCTTAAAGGAACCGTGAGTACCAACCCTGCAGTAAAAGAGGGAAAATAATGACCCATTCTGCTGACTAGGCTCATGATGATACCTGAACAAAATGTTGAGTGAGTAAAAATGTATATCATAATGCAAAGAAAATGAGTTATCAAGACAGACTCAAAAGGGACTTCATGGAACTCTTGAAGGTTTTAGCTTGCCTATATCATTGCTTCTAATATGAAGGACTTGGTACTCGCATTCTCCACCTAAAATTAGAGTGGTCGCCATTTGCCGCTAATGGAAATTATTGCAGAAGGTCTGTAAATGGTTCTGGGAACAGCTGGGTTTTTCTGAGAAATAACACCAGACATCTTTCTCACCCCCTGCAGAATGAGTCCCTGGAACGCCAGATGCGTGAAATGGAAGAGAACTTTGCCGTTGAAGCTGCTAACTACCAAGACACTATTGGCCGCCTGCAGGATGAGATTCAGAATATGAAGGAGGAAATGGCTCGTCACCTTCGTGAATACCAAGACCTGCTCAATGTTAAGATGGCCCTTGACATTGAGATTGCCACCTACAGGAAGCTGCTGGAAGGCGAGGAGAGCAGGTAGGGAACTCAGACTTGGATGCGTGAACTAATGGTGACCATTTGTTAGGCCCTGTGCCACTGGGCTCTAAGCAGTGTCACATTTAATCTTTAGAAAGTTTCTTTGAGGTAACTGCTTTCCACTTTTTGTAGAGGAGGAATTTGAATTGAGAGAGAGTAAGTGACTTGCTGAAAAAGGGTTAATCAACAGCAGAGCTGGGATTTGAACCCATAACTCTGTCAAAGCCTCCACTCCTAACTCCTGTTCATGCTCCTGTGGAGAAAATGCTTGTAGTAACATATTTTAAATGTACTAACAAGACCAGTCATGGGAAAATGTTTCTGAGACAAATCTCTAGTTTATGATTTAAAACAGTACGTTTTCTTACGTGACGAAAACAAAAAGTGTGTTAATTTGTTCCCAGTGGTTGAAGTTATTTGCCAACAATTTTACTGTTTCTCTTCATCTGTTTATAGGATTTCTCTGCCTCTTCCAAACTTTTCCTCCCTGAACCTGAGGGGTAAGCATTTTATTTCCCTTTAGGAAAAACGTCAGCTGCTTGTAACCACTGTGTTTATGTCAAAGCATTCATTTTTTTTAGGATATCTGAAAAAATGCCATATAAGAGAAAACTCTATAAAACATCTATAATTTTCGAACCCAAGTACACTCTTGCATTCTATGCTTTAAGTTAAATGCAAACTCCTTTTTCCTTCTTCCTGCTGCAAGTACTATCTCATCCTGATGCTCAAGAGTGTCAGGGCCTGGGTTTCCAAACAGAGACTACCCTAAAATTATTTGGCGAGTAGTACTTTACACAATTGCCTCTCCCCCACAAATCATAATTGTTTCAGTAAAATGGTTACTTGGTTTTTCCAAGAAAAAACTCGTTTTTACTCATTTTTGGCCTGTTTGTTTATTTAGAAACTAATCTGGATTCACTCCCTCTGGTTGATACCCACTCAAAAAGGACACTTCTGATTAAGACGGTTGAAACTAGAGATGGACAGGTTGGTATCTTTTAAGGAAAAAATAGGGTAATCTCAGACAGGAGTTGATATATTTTAAAATCAGTGAATCTGAATCTCAGATACAGCTGGCTAATTTGAGAGGTTCAGGTTTCATTCATGCCTACTAAAAAAAGAATAGGCTTCTTCTTCCAGCAGTACACACAGCCAACTAATTATTTGGCTCCTGGATGTGAAGTTGAGATAGCAGTCTTCCTGTGCTCCAGAATTAGTGATTTGCTTTGGTGCTTAATTTGAAGTGGGAGTAAGCTTCCTTAAACCACTTCCTAAAGCAGCTACATGAAACAGCTTCACTAGACTACCTCAATATGAGGAATGTTTTGATCCTGGACATATGGTGTCTTCCTACCTCCATACTTTATAGATTCCTAAACCCATCTATATAATACAAGCATGTGCCATACGATCATTTAGTTTCTTATTACCTCCCTATGCCAGGAAAGAAATAGTTGCAATTTATTGTAGTCATCATGAAATCTTCCCTTGCACATAAATTTAAAATGTACCTGCTGCACATTTTAATATGTCTTAATTGCTTTTAAACTTGGCTGTATTGTGTACAACTATTATACCATCTTTTATAAACACAGTTTTTTAAGAAATTTCTTTTTGTAAGTTACAACATTCCACTGGATCCTTATATTGCCTGTAGTGGAAGAGGGTCTTGTGTGTCTGCCCCTTCTAGTTTTCACTCATGCAGAAGCAACATAACCTTCTGATTTGCACAATAAATTACATATATTTAGCAGGATTTTTATTTGCCGTGATATATAGGATAATTTAGTCTTTGGCATGTGGCATTATATTTATTTTGGTTTTTTTTTTTAAACAGGTTATCAACGAAACTTCTCAGCATCACGATGACCTTGAATAAAAATTGCACACACTCAGTGCAGCAATATATTACCAGCAAGAATAAAAAAGAAATCCATATCTTAAAGAAACAGCTTTCAAGTGCCTTTCTGCAGTTTTTCAGGAGCGCAAGATAGATTTGGAATAGGAATAAGCTCTAGTTCTTAACAACCGACACTCCTACAAGATTTAGAAAAAAGTTTACAACATAATCTAGTTTACAGAAAAATCTTGTGCTAGAATACTTTTTAAAAGGTATTTTGAATACCATTAAAACTGCTTTTTTTTTTCCAGCAAGTATCCAACCAACTTGGTTCTGCTTCAATAAATCTTTGGAAAAACTCTTTTGTTGTGTTATTTATTGGATAATATCTAAACAATTCTCTACTTGGTCCTATTAGTTAATTTGTCATTACAATCATGTAAGTTGATAAATTCAGGTTATTTATGCTTGAGATGTAGTTCTTAATTTTGTCATTTTTGATAGACCTCACTTCTTTTTATTATTACTTAAAAACATTTACAAATAGGTGGTGTCGAATAAAATAACTTGTACCAAAATGAAGATAGGTCTCTCTAAAATGAGCTCAGGTCTGTGATTTTAATCATAACAAACAGACTTCCTAAAATTAAAAAATAAAAACTTTTTTTAGTACATATAGCATATGAGTAACACAAATTCCACTTTGGGAGTTAAAGCATAGGAAGTTGCCAAGATATAGGGGCTTATCTTCCGCTAGCAAGATGCAGAGAAATGGAAAAAGTTCACCAAGTTTTTCTTTTATTTAAGACAGGATCTCACTTTGTCACTCAAGCTGGAGTAAAGTGACTCAATCATAGTTCACTGCAGCCAACAACTCCTAGGCTCAGGCAATCCTCCCACCTCAGCCTCCTCAGTAGCTAGGAGTACTCAAAACAAATAAACGAATGTCTAACTTTAGCCTAAAATGTGAGTTGTCTTCCCAAAACTAGCCACACACCTGGCTAATTTTTTTAATTTTTTGTAGAGATGGGGTCTGGAAGTGTTGTCCAGCCTAGTCTGGAACTCTTGTGCTCAAGTGATCCTCCCTCGGCCTCCTAAAAAGCTGGGATTACAGGCATGAGCCACCACACTCAGCCTAGTTCACCAAGATTTAATATATGAAACCGTTCTGCTTTATTGTGTGTGTGTGTGATAGCTATATCTATATCCATCTATCTATAGATACAGATATTTGTAAAGACCTTTGTGTTTGGAGAATGGCATTAGGCACAAAATAAAACCTCCTACCTTTTCTTCCAGGGAGATGAGATTATTACATGTGAATCGCATGGTGCTAACTGTAGGTGTAATAAGGTTTCAAAGTCTGGAGCAATAAAAATGAAGTGGGGCAGTCATGGAAAGCTCCCTAGAAAGCACTCAGTGTGAGCATAGAACTTACATAAATAGACGAGAGAAGGTATTGCCAAGAGGCAATAGTGTAGTAATGGTCAATAATGTGTGTTCTGGAGTGAAAACTTCGAGTACATTCTCGGACATCTCTAAGTTTCAAATTATGGAAATATTATTATCTTCTCTCCTCCGAGAATGATGTGGTAGACATTGTCATAATTTTTCTGTGTTTGCATCTGCCTCTCTCTGGAGTTAACTAGTGAGATGGTTCTCACAAAGCCCTGCCCATTTGCAGGAATGTTCACTGTGATTTTCATCATTTTGGTTACCGTGGGTACTGCATGAATAAAGAAAGGATTGGGGCTGGATGCAGTGGCTCATGCCTGTAATATCAGCACTTTGGGAGGCTGAGGCGGGTGGATCACTTGAAGTCAGGAGTTCCGGACTAGCCTGGCCAACACGGCGAAATCCTGTCTCCACAAAAAATACAAAAATTAGCCAGCCGTGGTGGTGGATGCCTATAACCCCAGCTACTCTGGAGGCAGAGGCAGTAGAATTGCTTCAGCTTGGAAGGTAGAGGTTTCAGTGAGCCAAGACTGTACCACTAAACTCCAGCCTGAGTGACAGAGCGAGATCCTGTCTTAGAAATAAAGAAAAAAAGGATTGGCTGCTGAAGTAACTCCTAGCCATTCTAAAGGTAAATTCTAAATGTAAAAGTAAACTTTACATTCTAGTTTACTTGGGACATTCTTGGTTTATGACTGTTGTGTAAGCATAATTATTAATAATAACAGTTTGGACAATAGATTGTATGTGGTCAGGTCATGCTACCCTTAGAATAATCTTACAGAAAATGTGTCTGTCCCCTCAGCCCCCATATTCAAACAACTGACATGGACAATGGCATAATTAATTTTATTAGTGTAAACATCCAGGTCTTTGGGCCCTTATGAAACCTTTTCTATTTGATTTTTCGTTTTGCTTTCTGTTCTTTAGCCATTCTCACCACTGTTCCCCGCAGCCTCCTAACCCTAGGATCCCTGTCTCCTCTTCCACTTGTATCCCACCTTTGGCTTATAAGGGTCATCCAGGGAAGACCCCAGCCCCATATTGGCTTTCTTCACACACCAGACTCATTATTATTTTTTTAAAAATTGAAAAACAAGCCACAGTTTTCTTTCAGGGGAAAAGAACCAGGACAGCAAGTTCTGCTCATACCTATTGAGATTAGTAGACTCCCACTCTTAAAAATCCTTTACAGATGGAGGCCAGGCATGGTGACCAAGGTGGGTGGATCCCCTGAGGTCAGGAGTCCAAGACCAGCCTGGCCAATAAGGCGAAACCCCGTCTCTACTAAAGACACAAAAACTAGCCAGGGGTGGTGGTGCACACCTGTAATCTCAACTACTCGGGAGGCTGAGGCACGAGAATTGCTTGAACCCAGGAGATGGAGGTTGCAGTGAGCCGAGATTGTGCCACTGCACTCCAGCCTGGGCAACAGAGTGAGACTCTGTCTCAGAAAAAGAAAAAATATCCTTTACAGATGGAAACAACAGACACTGGGCACTTCAAAAAGGAGGAGGTTGGGAGGAGGGCAAGGGTTGAAAAACCACCTGTTGAGTACTTGGGTGATGGGTTCAATAGAAGCCCAAGCTCTAGCATTACGCAATATATCTATGTAACAAACCTGCACATATACCCCCTGAATCTCAATTAAAAAAAAAAATATCTTACAGCTCTTTCTAAAGTCACATCCCAGAAATGGAAAAGAGGAGTGGGCCTCCCTTATCTGTGACTGTCAGAAATTAGACCATAATGAAAAGCTTCACAGGTGCCCCATCTCCGAAGAATTCAAATTTATTTCAGTCTTCTTCTATTTTATCTTTAATTATACTGTTAGTGTTTTTCCTTATCTTCCACTTTGAAAAATTTATAAAAAGAAATTATGTTCTCACCACCTATGGTGAAAGAGAGATTAATGCTTGGTTCCTTCATGTATAATATTAATCCAAGATTAAAGGAGACGGAAAAAGTAGGGGGATGGGGAGAAAGAAATGGTGGCTTAAAGTGTTTAAGTCTGAAAAAAGTTACTAAGGGGATGGTGAAATCCATGGAACTCATGTGACTGTCAAGTCCTACTAAGTTTTCTCACAGTGACAGATGGAAAAGGCTGCTGGTGAATGAAACAAATGTCTACTTTTAGCCTAAAATGTAGTGAGTTGTCTTCCCACAACTAGCCGCTAACAAAGGCGCTAAAAAAATAAAATCTCTTCCCAGGCTATGAGACTAAGGGAGTGAGTGTGTGTAGTGATGGGGGAGGGAGACAGACTTTCACTCCAACTATCGTCTGAATGTTTGTGTCCCCCCAACTTTGTATGTTGAAACCTAACCTGCAACGTCATGGTATTCAGATATGTCTCTTGTGAAGTGATTAGGTCAGGAGGCTGAAGCCCTTATGAATGAGATTAATGCCCTTATAAAAGAAACTCCAGGCTGGGCGTGGTGGCTCACACTTGTAATCTCAGCAGGTTTGGAGGCTAAGGCAGGTGGATTGTTTGAGTCCAGGAATTCCAGACCAGCCTGAGCAACATCGTGAAACGCTATCTCTACAAAAAACAAAAAACAAACAAACCATGTGTGGTGGTGCACACCTGTAGTCCCAGTTACTCAGGAGGCTGAGGTAGGAGAATCACTTAAGCCCCGGAGGCAGAAGTTGCATGAGCCAAGATCATGCCACTGCACTCTAGCCTGGGTGACAGAGTGAGACCCTACCTCAAAAAAATAAAATAAAATAAAATAAAATAAAACAAAAAAGCCCATAATCCCAACACTTTGGGATGCTGAGGCAGGAGGATTGCTTGAGACCAGAGTTCAAGACCAGCTTGGGCAACAATAAGAGGCCCCATATCTACAAAAAATAAAAATATAAAAAAAACAGGCATGGTGGTACGTGCGTATAGTCCCAGCTACTTTGGAGGCTGAGGTGGGAGAGGATCACAGGAACCCAGGAACTCAAATCTGCAGTGAGCTAAGAAGGTGCCACTGTACTCCAGCCTGGGTGACAGAGGAGACCCCATCTCAAAAAAGACCCTTAAAAACCCACTTGTCCCTTCCATCATGCGAGGACACAGCAAGAAGGCACCTTCTATAAACCAGGAAGTGGCCCTCACCAGACACGGAATCTGCTGGTGCTTTGATCATGAACTTCTCAGCCTCCAGAACTGTGAGAAATGTTTCTGTTGTTTAAAAGCCACCCAGTGTGCATGATTTTGTTACAGCACCCGAAACAGCCTAAGACAGCTCCATCCTAAGGATTACTCATGAGCTTTGTGAAGGAAGCAAGGATAAAGCAGACACTATGCCCACACGAAGTCTCCCTCTCCAACCTGCCAGACCAGCTGCATGAAGAAGGGTCTGTACTACTCAGCTAGTTTTACTGTAACAGAATACCACAGACTGGGTGGTTTAAACAACAGAATTTTATTGTTTCACAGTAACAGAGGCTGGAAGTCCAAGATAGAGGTGCTGGCAGGGTTGGTTTATTCTGAGCCTCTCCCATTGGCTTGCAGATGACACGTTCTCTCTATGACCTCACATGGTCACCCCTTAGTCTGTTTGGTCTGTGTCCTAGTGTCTTCTTCTAAAGACACTAGTCCCATTGGATTAGGGCCTACCCATATGGCTCCATTTTACCTTAATCACCTATTTAAAGGCCTTATCTCCAAATACTGTTACAATTTTTTTTTTTTTTTTTGAGATGGAGTCTCACTCTGTCACCCAGGCTGGGGTGTAGTGGCACAATATTGGCTCACTGCAACCTCTGCCTCCTGGGTTCAAGCGATTCTCCTACCTCAACCTCCCAAGTAGCTAGGATTACAGCTACACACCACCATGCCCAGCTAATTCTTGTATTTGAATAGAGACAGGGTTTTGCTATGTTTGCCAGGCTGGTCTCGAACTCCTGACCTCAAGTGATCTGCCCACCTGGGCCTCCCAAAGTGCTGGGATTACAAGTGTGAGCCACCATGCCCAGCCCTCCAGTACATTTTGAAGTACTGGAGGTTAGGGCTTCAACATATGAATTTTGGGGAAACACACTTCAGCTCATACTAGGATCACCACTAAACATTGGGAAACACTCTCCTTGTCTGTACTCACAATAGGTCTGTGATACAGATTTTCAAAAGCTGTAAATTTGCAAAATCATTGATAGGGAATGCATGGCTTACAGATTTGTTGATCATTTGTGACTGCCCAGCTTCTCCATTTTTTTTTTTTTTTTTTTTTGGTCCCTTGTCTAGAGTCAGGGCAGTTTGAGGTCAGTTCCATGGAGTCTTTCTACAAAGATCTTTCATGTCAAGCAAATACTTCTTTTAGGGCACTGTAGGAGGTGAGCAGGCAGCCGTCAAAGACCTTGGAAGAGTCAATAAGTAGGGTACCCGCAAGTGAAAATTTTTCTCATTCCACAATACCAGAAGGCCGATTTCTTAGGAAGTTTCAGTTTCTTGTATGTATCAGGCACTATGCTAGGTGCTGGCTGTACAATGATAAAGTTTCCTCCGTTACTGAGTTCACAGTCTATCAGCCTAGTGGGAAAGAACAGAGAACATAAGGAAAATGCATGAGGTGTACTATATATGTTTAACTGTACATAGTACATACAAAAGCTATACAGCACAAGTAAAGCCTACAGGACATGCTTACAGGCAAGCTCTGTCTACTTCTTAAATCAACTGTAATCCATTAATTCCAGTCCCCATATAACAGCTATCTTCTCCAGGAATATTGACCAGTACGGCCTACCCGTTTTACTTGGTAAATGTGGCAAAGCAGACCACCAGGTCAATTCAGTTCAATTCAATTCTCCTTGACGCAAGGTAACCTGAAGGAGGGTCAAGTTCTGTCCTTGGAGTTCAGACAGTAGATTCCAGTCCTGATGCTGTTCATAACTCAATATAGGCTTCTGTCTCTCCAGAATATGAGATATTTTTTCTATTATCTTCTCCTTTATGTTGTTAATTATATAAATTGTACTTATATTATTTTATTTATTTATTTTTCATAGTGGCTTAAATGTCCTTCTCTGCTAATGTCAACATGTGAATAACATGTGAATTACATTTATCCATCTTTTGTTTTTGTTATGATCATTTGGTCTCTCTTTTTTTATTTTTTAGCATGTCTCATAATTTCTCCTTAATGCTGGACTTTTTAAATGGATACTTAGGTAGGACCTGGATGATGTTCTCTTCCTCTAAAGAACAAGAAAAGTTTTCTTTTTTACAGGCAAAGGGAGAACCAGGCATTACCTCGATCCTGGCCAGAGTTAGTTTTAGCCTTTGTTAGGGCTGGTCTATTTTAACATTATCTTAGTACTGGTACTTACTTCCCAACTGCGTTCTTTAGCCCTAGTGTGGGCTATTTCTCGGCCTCAACTACAACCTGCGTGCGTTTATCAAAGCCCTTCCACCTTGGCAGAGCTAAACTCTAACTTCTGTTTCTCCAACACTACTCAGGTGCTGAAATCTCTGCCCAACTTTTAGCTTCCTGGGTGCTGTTTTCTGCTGTGTTTCTTGGAGCCTCTTCCTGAACATGCAGCTTAGGAGACGGCCAATAATTGGAATGAATTCCTGTCCCCTAAGCCCAATAAGAATTCCATTTTATGTTTGAGCTCTCTCTCCCTCATTTGGAAATTACCCTCATGGGAAAAGCCAGGCAAACATGAATTTTACCTTGGATATTTTTCTTCTTTCAAGGAGTATAACTCTCCAACTCAATTCAGGACTGCATTGTTTGCTTTCATAGGCATTCAAACAGGTAGGGGTGTGTGTGTGGTGGGGCAGGGTGTGTGTGTGTGTGTGTGTGTGTTCCAAATACTATAGTTGTTTTTATGGAGGGGAGAGGTACAGACATCCCCAGCTTACAATGGTTTGATGATTTTTCCACTTTACAATGGTGTGAAAGAGATATGCATTGAGTATGCTCCTTGACTTAAGATTTGTTTACTGGGAGGTAACCTTACCATAAGTTGAATAGCATTTGCATTCCAGTTATCTATTGCCACTCTGAAACATCGAACTGCAAAACTCAGCAGCTTAAAACAACAATTTATGTTTCTGTGAGTTGGCTCAGCTGGAGAGTTTACTAGGGAATGTTCATGCAATTACAATGAGATGGCAGCTGAGCTGTGGTTATCTGAAGCAAACTGTACTGGACTTGTAAGATGTCTTCTTCATTCTTCTGTCTCTTTCTTCAGTGCTCCTTGACTTATTTTACTTTCTACTAATTATCTCAGAATCCAGGGCCTAGGCATCTCACAGCAAGATCTCAGGTTATTTATGCTTCTGGCATTGTGACTCACTGCTAAGAGGCAGAAAGCAGTAATGTCCAGGTTTGATAAGGGTTGCATCTGTAAATGGCACAGGATAATTACCATTATATTTTGTCAGTCAAATAAGTCACAAGGACCACCCAAATTCCAGGATAGAGAAGCAGATTCCACTTCTTCATGGGAGAGTGGCAAGGTCACACTACAGAAGAGCATGTGAGATGAGATAAGATTGTGTGCAATTTTGGCAGATACAATCTACCATAGATACAACCTATTCTTCTATTGTTTACTTTATGATTTTTCCACTTTATGATGGTGCAAAAGTACCATGCATTTGGTGTGCTCCTTGACTGAAGAAGAGTTTATTGCAGGGTAGCTCAACTAGGTTAATGAAACACCATAAATCTTTTAAACAAGAAGTCTCAATCAAAACTGACTGAAGAAGATATGAAAAATCTAAATAGGCTGGGAGCGGTGGCTCACACCTGTAATCCGAGCACTTTGGGAGGCCGAGGAGGGTGGATCACCTGAGGTCAGAAGTTCAATACCAGCCTGGCCAACATGGTGAAACCCCGTCTCTACTACAAAAATTCGCTGGGCCTAATGGCATGCGCCTGTAATGCCAACTACATGGGAAGCTGGGAAAGGAGAATTGCTTGCACCCGGGAGGCAGAAGTTGCAGTGAGCAGAGGTGACGCCATTGCACTCCAGCCTGGGCAACAAGAGCAAAACTGTCTCAAAAAAAAAAAAGAAAGAAAGAAAGAAAGAAAAATCTCAATAGTCTCGTTACCATCAAGTCAAGTCAAGTTCTGCCAAGCATTTAATATACAAAGTCAAGTCAAATGCTTCCAGATCAGAAAATGAGGAAACATTATCAAACTTACTATATTTGTGAATCTATTCGTGCTACTGTCATGAAATATCTGAGACTGGGTAATTTATAAAGAACAGAAATTTATTTTTCATAGTTCTGGAGCTGGGAAGTCGAAGATCAAGGCGCTAGCAGGTTCCGAGTCTGGTCAGGTCAGCTCTTCATTTCCAAGATGGTGCCTTGTTGCTGTAATGTTCCCCTCTGGAGGAATATTGTGTCTTCAGATGGCAAAAGAGATGGAAGGGGTGAAAAGGGTTGTATTCCCTCTGTCAAGACCTTTTATAAGAAACCTAATCCCATTGATGAGAGTGTAACTGTCATGACTTAATCACCCCCTCAAGCCCACGCCTCTCAATACTGCTGCATTGGGATTAGGTTTCAACGTGAATTTTGAAGGGAACAAAAACAGTAGCATAACCTTAATTCCAAAACTATACAGAGATGCAACAGGAGATGAAAATTGCAGCCTAACTTTATTCAGGGATATTGAGGCAAACATCCTAATGAAGTATCAGCAAAACAATTGTGTTGGCTAAGGTTCTTTGAGAAGCAAAAAGTGGGCTTAGATGTACAAGAGACTTGTAGAGAAGGATAAATGGGAAGAAGTAGGAGTAGGCAGGTAAGACTTCAGGTTTTAATTTAACTCTTACACCAGCGAAAGGAGAGAGGGAAGGATGGAGGAATAGGAGTACCTCGGATTGCAGGGCAGACTCAAGAAAATTTTGGCCAAGTCAATGAGGGGGTCCTTAAGTCAGTCACAGTTTAGATGAATTTTATGTCCCATAAGAATGGGTCAGTATCATAATCTTTACCACATGCAGTCATTGGTTGGGAGGAGGCTGGGGGAAGCATGCTTTTGACCCAGATGTAGTGATGATCCAGAAGGGTGGCAAGTGGAGCTGTCAGTTAATGATGCTCCCTGAAACAAGAGATGTTCATGATCTATTTTCCTTGCCACTACACAAATCTAGCAATATATTCTAAGATGTTTAAATGTATTATCAGTGTATAAAGATAATATGCATGTTGGATATAGCTCAGAAAAGTAATATTATTTTAATATTCAAAATTGATGTACACAATTTAATACATTAAGAAATTAGAGGAAAAAAATGGTGAGATGCAATGGCTCACACCTGTAATCCTAGTGCTTTGGGAGGCTGAAGTGGGTGGATCACCTGATCCCAGGAGTTTGAGGCCAGCCTAAGCAATATAGTGAAACCTCATCTGTGCAACAAATTAAAAAAAATTAAGAAGAAAATAATTTAAAAAACAATTAGATGGGCATGGTGGTGCATGCCTGTAGTCTCAGCTACCCAGGAGGATGAAGTGGGAGGATTGCTTGAGCCCCAGGGATTGAGGCTGCAGTGAGTTATGATTGAACCAGTAGACTCCAGCCTGGGCAACAGAGTGAGACCCTAGCTCAAAAAAAAAAAAGAGAGGAAGAAAAAAAATTAAAGCAGAAAATCATGTGATGGAGAGGGGAAAAAGGAAAAAACCTGGCAGGCAGGCAGTTAGGGTGGGTCCTCAGTTGAATTTTTTCAAACAAAAGAACAGCCTGAAAACTCAAGCTGCAGGCACAGATAAGGGAACTTGAACAAGGGGGTTGCTTGAGACATGCCTACAGCCACACAGATAAGAAACACTACACAGGTGACTTGTCCAGACATGCCTGCAATGGAAAATTCTGTCCCCTAACATGTGCACACCAAGGGGAACAAAACAATACGGAGTAACTCAACCTAATGGCCTGCATGTGCATTAGGAGGACAGGGTGGAGCTACCAGAAATCCACACCTTATGCAAATGAGATGTCTAGCCCTCATCGGTTTTTTATAAAAGCTTTTGCATTCAATTGTAAAAATGGCAACCCTTTTCCAGGCCCTTTCTCCACAGCAGAGCGCTTTCTTCTTTTGTTTATTAAACTTTTGCTCCAACCTCACCCTTTGTGTCCACACTCCTTAATTCTCTTGGTCATGAGACAAAGAACTCCAGGCGAAACCTCATAACGAGAGACTGCTACATTGTGGTGTATTGGCTAGGCTGTAACATGATCTGCCTAATCATGTTGAAACATCTAATCATTATGAAAACTTAAGAAAAAAATAGGAATATAAAGACTTTTCTTAACTTGGTAAAAGATCTATAAGAAACCAAACTTTGGGAGGCTGAGGTGGGGGTTCACTTGAAGCCAGGAGTTCAAGACCAGCATGGTCAACATGGTGAAACCTCATCTCTGCTAACAATACAAAAGAAATTTAGCTGGGCATGATTGTACATGCCTGTAATCTCAGCTACTCAGGAGGCTGAGGCTGGAGAAACACTTGAACCAAGGAGACAGAGGTTGCAGTGAGCAGAGATTGTGCCACTATACTCTAGCCTGGGTGAGGGAGTGATACCCTGTCTCAGAAAAAAAAAAAAAGAAAGAAACCAAGAGTAAATATAAAAAACAATACTGAAATAATATAACTAGTCCCTATAAGATCAAAAGAATACCCACTATCCATCCCCACTCCTATCCAATATTGTACCACAGGAAAAAAAAAAAAAAAGGTCAGGCACAGTGGCTCATCCCTGTAATCCCAGCACTTTGGGAAGCCAAAGTGGGAGGATTGCTTAAGCCCAGCAGTTTGAGGTTAACCTGGGCAACATAGTGAAACCTTATATCTACAAAAAATTAAAAATTTAACTAGACATGGTAGTCCATGCCTGTAGTCCCAGCTACTCAGTGCAGGTAGGGCTGAGGTGGGAGGATGGCTTGAGCCTGGGAAGTTGAGGCTGCAGTGCACTATGATCATATCACTGCATTTCTGGCTGGGTGAAAGAATGAGACCCTGTCTCAAAAAAATAAAGACTTAAAAGGCATAGTGGCCTGGCACAGTGGCTCACACCTGTAATCACAGCACTTTGGGAGGCTGAGGTGGGCGGATCACGAATCAGGAGATGGAGACCATCCTGGCTAACACGGTAAAACCCCATTTCTACTAAAAAATACAAAAAATTAGCTAGGCATGGTGGTGGGCGCCTGTAGTCACAGCTACTCAGGAGGCTGAGGCAGGAGAATGGCGTGAACTTGGGAGGCGGAGCTTGCAGTGAGCTGAGATTGTGCCCCTGCACTCTAGCCTGGGCAATAGAGCAATACTCCATCTCAAAAAAAAAAAAAAAAAAAAGGCATAGTAATAGAAGAGATTAAAATGTCATGAATTACAAATGATACTATTGCTTATTTGGAAAATCCAAAACTATTTACAGGTAAATTATGTATAAAGAAAAGCAAAAGGCCAAGAGGAGATAAGACACCCCAGACAAGATAAGATAAGATAAGACAAGATAAGATAAGATAAGGTAAGGTAAGATGAGATAAGGTGAGAATGGGATAAGATAAGGAGAATATCAAGATAGAAAAACACATCCTACTAGATACGGCTGTAGTAAAATGTAATAGTGTAGATTGGTACAGAAACAGGCACCAAGGAAACATAATAAAGCACTCAAGAATGAACCCATGTGTATGAAATTTTATTTTTGATAGAGCAAGCATTGCTGTAACATGCATTAATTAGAAAATTACCTCGAGGAGGACCCTTAAAAGGGAGATGCCAGCATTATATAACCAAAAGTTTTTCTGACAGTTTTCTGTAACATGTACCAACATTCTCTTTCTGTCCCCTGTCTTCTGACCTGAAGAAATGTGTTCCTTCTTTAAGGAAAAAGGATGATGAATGGATGGTTTTAATGTCCCTTTATGACTTTTCAAGGATTTCTTTGACAATACACAGATTTCATACCTAATTGTCCACCAACTACAAACAAAATTAATTTTAGATAAATTCATAGTCTGAAGTTAATTCTGGAAAGCCCATATTATGTTTGACAATCTTAAAAACGTTTCTCTTTCTATTTGTTGCCAATTTCACCCCACAAATCTTATCTTTGAATTCCAATTAAATATGGATAATATAAATTACCATTGTAGAATCCAGTGTATGTAGGGTTACGGGTGTAGTCAGATAACTGAATGTTCTCCTTACCACCTCCAGATAAATTCTCTTCCCCTCTGTGATTCACTGATCATAAATCGGTTTACTGTGAGGAAAAAAAGAAATGGATAGGTTGACGTTGTCCCCAGGTGGTAGGTAGGATGAACTGCCTATGAAACAATGCAATCCACTCCAGGCAGTACACATTTCAAAATGCTTCTCCCTATGGGGTTTGACAGGTACAGACAATTGTTGTTCCAAATGCCATGTGCTTTAGCAAATCATTCTGCCTATTGTGAGTAGTCACCTTTCAAGCCACGAGTTACCATTTGAGTTCTTTTGCCTCAAACTGATGGAGAAAATGAAAACAGAATGTCACCCATGCAGTTCCAGTCTGTTGTATTCAAGAATTTGATATATTCAGACCTATGCCTGGCTTTCAGTACCATGAGCTAATGACATTTCTTGGCTTGACTATAAAGTTCTCTTGACAATACTGTGTGGATGAGATTTTACCGTTTGTGCTAAAGTCAACAACAAAAGCAGGACCTGGTAATGCCAACAACTATCTAAAGAAGGTCGATCAGAAAAACGACAAGGTGGCCTATTCCAAAGCAACTCTGCATTCTTATAATTTTGTTAATGGACCTTCTTTTTAATAGGTTTCTGCAAATAAAGTTTGAGGTTATAAAATGTGAGCCTACTAGAATGACACAAAGTTGAATTTCAAATGTTGTTTTTTTGGATGTTCTAAAAATACATTGTAAATGGATTTCTGCTAAGGATGGACTACTGTCTTCAAAGCTAGAGAAGATAAATTGTGGAATCAAGCCAGCTGCTCAGAGAACATAGAGAGGTTTGGGGTCTCTGGTTATGCATACTAAGTGCAAAGCTATCACGTGGCCCAGAGGCGGGCAGGCCTGCTTGACTTTAATAATCAGTGCCTGCAGTAGGTAGCCTGTCCTTGGGAAATGGGTGTCTATAGCTTTGGGCCCATGTGTAGCCTCTGGTTGGCTACCATGCCCACTCCATTTTTATGCTCATTTTCCCAGTTCCAGAGAGATCAATGCTGAGGCTGGCTAATATTAATTGGCTGTGTCATTTTGTCCACTTGACTGTTCAGTGTGACTTCTGTGGTGGGATGCTCTCTGGTGGCCATTAACATGTGATACAAAAACTTTGTGTACAAAACTTTTTGGATCACATGTTAATGTTTTCATTGCTGTGCATCTCCATTTTGTCCATCCACCTGCCTCTACCCCAGCCCTCCTTGTGTCTAATGGTCTGGTCCTTTTCTTTACAGGCCTTTGACCCGCTAGCCATGCTGTTCGTCTCAGCCTAGGGATATCTATATAATCTTACCTTGGGTTCCTTCTCCTTCTATGCCAGAAACACCACTTGCATCCTGCTCATTAGGAAACTTTTTTTCCCCTCCCCATTATCTTTTTTTTCTTTTTGAGATGGAGTCTTGCTCTGTCGCCCAGGCTGGAGCGCAGTGGTGCAATCTTGGCTCACTGAAACCTCTGCCTCCTGGGTTCAAGCGATTCTCCTGTCTCAGCCTCCTGAGTAGCTGTGATTACAGGCACGTGCCACCGTGTCTGCTAATTTTTGTATTTTTAGTAGAGACAGCGTTTCACCATGTTGGCCAGGGTGGTCTCGAACTCCTGACCTCAGATGATTTGCCCACCTCGGCCTACCAAAGTGCTGGGATTACAGGCCTGAGCCACTGTAGCCAGCCCCCACTATCTTCTAAGGCCACCTCTGAATATGTCAGCAATGGAACCACCAGGTATTTTCATCATATACCCACAAACTGAGCCAACCCATATATAAACCAAACTCAAGTTGTTCCTCGTTCATCTGGTTGTGTGGCATCTCTCCCCATAGGGCCACGGGTGTGAGCTGGGGAAGGGGGATTAATGCAACCATGGATGGTGACTTGGGGACCTCTGGGCTGCCTGATCCTGCAGCTTACCTGTGCTCTCTGGCCCTGTTCAGGCTTAACTTGGGATGTATCATTTTCATCTTTAGTAAGATGCAGTAACGGTAACTATTCCTCAATGATGTGATTCTCTGCAGATGACATGGCCTTCCTTCAGAATCCAGGGGTCTGCATAGTATTTTTCCTGTTTGGACTTTCTATAAATGACACACTACATCTTTTCTCACCGAGGACCCCTCCGACATCAAAACGTCAGCTGGATGTTATGGCCAATGAATCAAGGCTGCTCATTCCATGGGCTGGACCTGCTGCAGAGTCCTTCCTTGGGTGTTATGGCCAATGAATCAAGGCTGCTCATTCCATGGGCTGGACCTGCGCAGAGTCCTTCCTTGGGTGTTATGGCCAATGAATCAAGGCTGCTCATTCCATGGGCTGGACCTGCTGCAGAGTCCTTCCTTGGATGTTATGGCCAATGAATCAAGGCTGCTCATTCCATGGGCTGGACCTGCTGCAGAGTCCTTCCTTGGATGTTATGGCCAATGAATCAAGGCTGCTCATTCCATGGGCTGGACCTGCTGCAGAGTCCTTCCTTGGATGTTATGGCCAATGAATCAAGGCTGCTCATTCCATGGGCTGGACCTGCTGCAGAGCCCTTCCTTGGATGTTATGGCCAATGAATCAAGGCTGCTCATTCCATGGGCTGGACCTGCTGCAGAGTCCTTCCTTGGACGTTATGGCCAATGAATCAAGGCTGCTCATTCCATGGGCTGGACCTGTGCAGAGCCCTTCCTTGCTCTGGACTCACAAAGCAGGCAGCCCTCTGTGTTAGCTGGTGTATGGACAAGAGCAGCATTCCATAAACCAAGAAGGTTCCAAAGAGGTTTAACAGGCTGTGTGCTGTTCTTTGGGGAAAGGGATGCAAGATGCAGCAATTGTTTTTCACTTTGGAGGGAATAGCCAGGCATTTCCCTAACCTCTGACCCCTAAATACTTTATAAAGCAGCAGGTCCCTGACTTTTCACAGGGTTTATCCTCCACCTTCTGCTATGCATGTTTCTTACCAAGGCCTTCAGTGTCCTGGCCATCTCTTCCTGGTCCTGCTCAATCAGTATGATGGCATTGATATGGGGAATGGATATGATATTCTATGGGAGGTCTAGATCTCCTTGGATTCCACCACAGCTGAGAGTGGGGAATTAACAGAAGCCTGGAGCAAAACTGTAAATGAATGTTCCTGTCCATTCCACGTGAATGCAAACTGTTTCTGATAAGAATAGAAGCTGGGCGCAGTTGCTCATGCCTGTAATCCCAGCACTTTGGGAGGCCGAGGTGGGCGAATCACCTGAGGTCAGTGGTTCAAGACCAGTCTGGCTAACATGGCAAAACTCGTCTCTACTAAAAATACAAAAATTAGCCAGGCATGGTGGCACACGCCTGTAGTCCCAGCTACTTGGGAGGCTGAGGCAGGAGAATCACTTGAACCTGGGAGGTAGAGGTTGCACTGAGCCATGGTTACACCACTGCACTCCAGCTTGGGTGACTAAATGAGACTCCATCTCAAAAAAAAACCAAAAAACACACACACACAAACCCACATTTGCCAAATCAATGGCAGCACGCTCTTACTGGAGACATTATTAATCTGTTCTAGCAATGCCACTTTCAGCACTGCAGCCAAAATAGGACTACTACTTGGTTGAGTGTGCATCATTAGTCTACAGTCATTTTCTTAGATCCAGCCAGTTTCTGCAAGGCTCAGGCCAGTGGTGAATTGAACAGAGATAGGACAGAGCTCACCATTCCTGCATTCCTTTGGTTTTTAATGATGGTATTTATGTTTGCCACCCCCTGGTATGTGATATTGTTTGTGATTTACTATCTTGACCATGGAGGGGGCAAGATTCAGACTTCTACTTGACCTTTTCTACTGTGATAGCTCTTACCTCGTAAGCTAATGTCCCAAGGTGGGGATACTCCTGCTGTCAAGTACATTCATTTCAACTCTACACTTGCCGACTAGAAAAATGATGAGTGGACTTGTCTATGCACCCAGTGGGCCCACTCTGAATTACACTTTACCCAGAACCCTGTTTGTTTCTTTGTCCCCAAATCCCCCATTCTAACAGAGGGGCCATAGTGTTGCTTCAGATCTCTGGGTACTATAATCAGTTGAGAGCCTGTGTTCAAAAGTCCCCCAAAAGGTCTAGAGATTCCACTTACCCCAGTGAACAGTTGCTCAGGTAAACAGCTACAGATCTGTCTGGAGAAAAGTCTTGGGAATCATTACAGGAATTATTGCTGCAGCATTGCAGAGTTCTTTCTCTTAGGGCTCCAACTACCTCTTGAGCCAATAGCTTCTAGATCTGAAAATTGAGTAAAGTCTGAGAACTGAGCAAGGTATGAAAACTTTTTATTGGGTGATCACCATTAGTTTTCTGCTCCTCCATTCTTGCCTTTTTTCTTGTTGTAGAAATTAAGAAGGCCCCTTGCTGGTTGACTGTCTATTTTTCCCCTAAAGGAGTTAGGTTCTATTAACCATCTTCACAACTTTCTGTAGGCCAAGACTCTTTGGCTGCTCTTCCAAGCTTGCTGGTCACTATGGTCATCGTGACTCCCTGGCTTCTAATGGTTAAGTGACACCCCATCCTCCACCATCAGTCCAGGCCTGCAGACCTTATCTTACTAGCTGTTTTCTCTGATCACTCCTGGTTCCAACTGTGTCTGTTCAGGTCTTCTAAGAAGTAGAAGCCAAGACAGGATTATATGTACAAAAGATTTATTGGATGAAATGTCTGTGATATGGTTTGGCTGTGTCCCCACCCAAATCTCATCTTGAATTCCCATGTGTTGTGGGAGGGACCCAGTGGGAGATGATTGAATCATGGGGGCAGGTCTTTCCTGTACTGTTCTTGTGACAGTGAATAAGTCTCATGAGATCTAATGGTCTTAAAAATGAGAGTTTACCTGCACAAGCTCTCTTTTTGCCTGCTGCCATCCATGTAAGACATGACTTGCCCCTCCTTGCCTTCCACCATGATTGTGAAGCCAGCCACGTGGAACTGTAAGTACACTCGACCACTATCTTTTGTAAATTGCCCAGTCTTGGGTATGCCTTTATCAGCAGCATGCAAACAGACTAATACAGTCTGTGACAGATAAAAGAAGCTGGAGAAGAAGTAGGCAGGACAAGCCTTCAGATCACAGTGTAAGTTTTATATCTGTAAAAGGAGAGGAAAAAGGAAGAATTGATCTGGAAGAGTCTGAGCTTACAGAGCTTCTCTAAGAAAAGTCTTGGCTAGGACTATGGGGTGTCCTGAACAAAAGTTACCCATTAGAGGAATCTTTCAACAGGCAAATGGTCCTATGCCAGTGTACATGCCCGGCTACGTCATTGGGTGGGAACAGCCTAGTGGTATAATTGGTTCAGAAAGAATGCAGGGGTATGACAGCTTGAGACTGTCAATCAGCTGTATTCCATTTCTCAAAGGGAGCTCTGAACCTCCATAGTCATCTGTTTGGTCATCAGGGCCACACACTAATTATTATTAAAGAAGAATATTTCCGTAAATGCAGCAGAATCTGCAAAGATTCCTCTGAGCCTCCAATGAGGAGAAAATATTACATTTTGAGACAGAACAGTGTATGTGTTCATTCTCATTTTTCAGACTGTGCCTTGGCTCTCTCTGCATTTGAGAAAAGAAACTGATTACATATCCAGCCATCCTTTGATGGCCTCATCAGCTACACGAAGGCCCAATTAAAGTTTTAAAATTATTGTTTTCCTTTAATGTTATTAATATGGTTTGGCTCCGTGTCCCCAGCTAAATCTCATGTCAAATTGCAATCCTCATGTGTTGGAGGAGGGGCATGGTAGGTGGCCATTGAATCATGGGGGCGGACTTCCCCCTTGCTGTTCTTGTGGTAACAATGAGTTCTCAGAAGATCTGCTTGTTTAAAAGTGTGTAGCATTTCCCTCTTCATGCTCTGTCTCTCCTGCTGCTGCGTGAAGAAATATTTGCTTCCCCTTCCCCTTTCCACTCTGATTGTAAGTTTCCTGAGGCCTCCCCAGGCACCTTCCTGTACTTCCTGCAGAACTGTTAGTCAATTAAACCTCTTTTCTTTATAAATTTATACTAGGTAATTTATGTAATTACCCAGTCTCAGGTAGTGCTTCATAGCAATGTGAGAAGGGACTAACACAGTCATTTACTCAAAGTAACTTTCCTTGATCTTCTTCTTTACTTTGTTTCCTTATCCTACCTTACTTTTCTTCTACACACTCATTACTATCTATGTTATTCCGTATTTATGTGTTTGTTTACTTTATAATTTTCTGTGTCCTCCATTAGAATGTAAGTTTCATGCCAGTAGAAGCCTCTTCTGTCTTGTTCACTGGAGTATCTTCGGTGTTCAGTTCATACTGCCTGGCACAGAGTATGTGCATAACTTGTGATTATTTTGAAAGAGTAGATAAAATCTGTGGTAGGCCAGCCTCCCCCATACATACCTAAAACCAGTCCTCAGAGTGGAGGATGGGGATAGAGAACTAATAACATTATAGACACTTCACAATCATCCTACAAATAAAGCATTATCACCCCCATTTTGCAGATAAGGAAACTGTGGTTTATAGAAGTTAAGTAATATTGACAAGGTCATTTGGCTAGTAAATTACAAAGCTGGGCTCTGAATGCAGTTACACACTATATGTCCTCAACCACTATAGAGTATTAATAGCAAAAAAAAAAAAAAACTCTCTAGCTTGTAAATAGATGAGGTTCTGGGAAACACTGGACTAGTTCAATTTCCAAACTTCTTGAAAGTAATGACTCTCACCATCAAGCTACATAATCGCTAAATTATAAAACCGGCAGTGTGAAAAATCCTAAAGCACTTCTGAATTGTCCACCTAACAACTGATTACATCCTCTTCTGCAAAGGGAAATAAAACTGTTTGCTAATCAGGCCTCAGAAAGGCTTAAGTGTTCCACACCGAATATCAGAAATCGGGAAAATCATTAAGTCATTACCTCGTGCCAAATTGAATGCTACAGTGTACTTTTCTGGTATTTTAACCTGTCTAGCATCTAATGACTCAGAAAGCATTTCTCTTATTTAATCCCTCTCAGCGTTTTTTTTTTCCTTACTGAGAAGCTACTATTAACCTCTCTTGTAAAGAAAGTGAGTCTCTTCAGATATCTGTCAAATAATTTTATGTGGTTAACCTAAAGCACAGCTTTTTCTAAAAAAAAAATAGAAGGATCGTTCTGGAAAGGAGACAAGAAAAAGCAGTCCAGTGGGAAGAACATAATTGTCTTAGCATACCCGTTGCTGGCAGATGCATGAAAAAGCCACACAAATGAGACACCAGCATCTAAAATCAAATGCCTGTCAGCTTAAATTGTAGTCTTTGGTAAACCTGATCAATTATTCAGCCTTCTTACACATTTAATAAAGCTCCAGAACAGAGCCCAGAAAATAGTTGCATATAAAATATTCTTTGAGAAATAAATTACGCTTTAGTAGAAAGCTACAGTCTTTACCTAAGCTAACTCGGATGATACTCCAAGTGAGCTATCCTTCCTGCTTACTTCTGCCTTTTTTTCTTCAAAGGGCAATCCTTTTTGAATTGGCATTTAGCATGGTAGTATTAGGTTGGGGGAAAAAATCGTGTTTTTTTGCCATTAAAAGTAATAGCAATAACTTTCGCCCCAACGTAATAGTTGCTTCATTCCTGGAGAGTGGGATCTGCTTGGTTTACCAGCCAGAGGGCTTGACAAAATCTGACTTTAGTGTCTTCGAATGTCCTTTTCTAACATCTGCACAGAAATATCTTCATGGGAGAAAATCATCTTTTTCATTAAAAAATGTCAGTGTGGGAGTATGGGGAGAGGAAATAGGGAGAGAAAGAGAAGGAAAGAGGCGCACACATACAGAGACAGAGAGAGACAGGGAGAGAGAGAGGGCAAGAGAGTACTGCCTTGGGGTCACTAACACCCTTGAAGATATCTCAGAAGATTGTTCCAACCAAGTAAAAATGTAGACAAAAAGTCGCCGCTCCTTCTTCAGACACAACGGATCTTGTGAAGAGCCTGGTAGGGCAAAAACTTGAGAGGCCATTGTGGTGTCCAAAGAAATACTGACATCTACTGGTGGGTTCGGAAGTCACAGGACTTTTCCAAGGGCCACATTTAGTTGCACGGAATTGAAAGTATTAAAATCCAGTGGATACAATTAGGCATTCCTGAGGATCCCTTCTAAATAAATTTTTAAAATTAACTTATGACCATCAAGAGCATTTCTGAATTGTCTGTTCTTTAATCCACCAGATAGATAATCATTGACTTAGTCTCTGTACCTGAAATATTTCACACAGTCCAGGGAAGAGTAAAATGAACAAAATTCCTTTCTCTTTATGACCCCAGGACCTACCTCATCAAAAACGGTGCTTTGAAAAACAGCAAGAAGAATGGGAAGCAATATTGCTCAGTCAGAAGATAAACCTGTGTTCACATCCAGGAACTTTCATTTATTGGCTGTGTAATTTCTACCAAGTTACTTTGTCTCCCAAATCTCATTCTTTCTCAGCTGGAAATGAGAATTGAGGATACCTGCCCTGAATGACTCTGTCAGTAATTAGAGACCACGAACTCAAAGTGCCTGTGGTTCACATTACACACTGAGTAATTGCCGGGCGCGGTGGCTCACACCTGTAATCCTAGCACTTTGGGAGGCCGAGGCGGGTGGATCACCTGAGGTCAGGTAGTCGAGACAAGCCTGACCAACATGGTGAAACCCCATCTCTACTAAAAATACAAAAATTAGCTGGGTGTGGTGGCATGCACCTGTAGCCCCAGCTACTCAGGAGGCTGGGGCAGGAGAATTGCTTGAACCTGGGAAGTGGAGGTTGCAGTGAGCTGAGATGGCACTACTGCACTCCAGTCTGGGCGACAAAGCAACGCTCCATCTCAAAAAAAAAACAAAAACAAACAAATAAAAGAAACAAAAAAACTCAGTAATGGGATTGTTGTTACATTTAAAGGATAGAAACATCCTGGGACCACTTGCTTCTTGATTGACCAAGCTGTGATTTAGGAGAGTACTTCTCAAACTTTAATTTGCACTCGACTCACTAGGGAATCTTGTTAAAATGAAGGTTCTGTTTCAGCTGCCAAGGGCGGGGCCTGAGATACTGCATCTCCAGCAAGCTCCCAAGAGATATTGATATGCTGGCCTGGGACAGCACTGAGTAGCAAGAATCTGTGGGGTCCAATCCCCACTAGAGGTCAAGAGCATTGAGGTGGCCCCTGTCAATTGGCTTCCTATGTGAGGGGAAATAGCTCTCAAAATTTCAGTTGTTTCAAAGTATAAACAAAGTGTACATAAGAAAATTGCCAGGAAAGATGGGTTTGCCTAATGTAGAAACACTAAAAATTGGCCGGGTACAGTGGCTCACACCTGTAATCCCAGCACTTTGGGAAGCCAAGGTGGGTGGATCACCTGAGGTCAGGAGTTCAAGACCATCCTGGCCAACATGGCGAAACCCCATCTCTATTAAAAATACAAAAAAACATTAGCTAGGCATGGTGGCACGTGCCTGTAGTCCCAGCTACTCGGGAAGCTGAGGCAGGAGAATCGCTTCAACCCGGGAGGTGGAAGTTGCACTTAGCCGAGATTGCACCACGGCACTCCAGCCTGGGCAACAGAGCAAGAGACTCTCTCTCCAAATAAATAAATAAATAAATACTAAAAATTTACTTCACACCCATTCCCAATATACAGATTCTACTTATCATGATAGAGAAGAGGTGTTTGGGTTCTGAATCAGAAATGCCCCCATAGGTTAGACATGGTAGGTCACACCTGCAATCCTAGCACTTTGGGGGGCTGAAGTGGGAAGATTACTCGAGCCCTGGAGTTTGAGACCAGGCTAGTCAATGTAGCGAGATCCTATCTCTACAAAAATTTTAAAATTAGCCAGGTGTGGTGGTGCATGCCTGTAGTCCCAGCTACTCAGGAGGCTGAGGTGGGAGGATCGCCTGAGCCCAGAAGTTCATGGTTGCTCCAGCTAGGGTGACAGAATGAAATCCCAGTAGTTAATTTATTCTGTTTCAGCTTTAGGCTTTCTGTAGAATCTGGCAATGGCAAGCAATTAAGCTAAGGGGATCTGGAGTCACAGGTGAATTTGCATCCTGACTCGGTAACTTGCCATCTGCCAGGTCATAGACAACTTCCTTAACTTTTCTAGGCCTCAGATTTCTCAGAGTATATTGTGAATATTGTGAACAATTCAATGAGATAATACAGATAACACATTAGCACATATACTGCTCAATAAATGATTGTATTATAATTATTTTTAGACAAAATAATGCAGCTGTTATTTCTCCCCAGCACACTTTTTTTTGAGAATAGAGTCTCTCTGTGTTCCCAAGACTGATCTTGAACTCCTGGGCTCAAGCGATCAGTCTCCAAATTAGCTGGTACTACAGGCAAGAGTCATCCCTTAATTTTTAAGTATAGCACTATGGCTTTGGGGAAGAGTGTGGTAGAGAAAGCAGTGGAACAGCACAGAATGCTGTTTTGCAGGAAGTAAGATGCAGGTTTAAATCCTAGTTCCACCACCAGAATGGTGGAGGACTTTGGGCTGGGTTATATAGTGTCTCTGGGCTTCAGGGTTCATCTGCACAATAGAGAGATGACAATGTAGGCGGTGTGAGGATTAGAAAACTCTGTCAAGTCCTGCTATGCAATCAGCCCTCAAAATTAGTTGCTATTAACAACAGTGGGTTTTTTGGTTTATGTTTTTGTTTTTGTTTTGAGACGGAGTTTTGCTCTTCTTGCCCAGGTTGTAAGTGCAGTAGCACAATCTCAGCTCACTGTAACCTCTGCCTCCTGAGTTCAAGTTCTCCTGCCTCAGCCTCCCGAGTAGCTGGGATTACAGGCACCCACTACTGTGCCTGGCTAGTTTTTAGTATTTTTAGTAGAAACAGGGTTTCACCATGTTGGCCAGGCTGGTCTTGAACTCCTAACCTCAGGTTATCTACAAGATCCGAAGTGCTGAGATTACAGGCATAAGCCACCGTGGGATATTACATAATACAGTGGGATATTAATATTGATATAGTGTTTTCTGACTTAGGTTCGGTAGCTCCTTAGACTCCCCTGACTCCTCTACCTAGATTCCTGCTTTTTTTTTTTTTCACCCAGGCTGCAGTGCAGTGGAGTGATCTTAGCTCACTGCCACCTCCACCTCTAGGTTCAAGCGATTCTCCTGGTTCAGCCTCCTGAGGAGCTGAGGGAGGCTGAGGGATTGCAGGCGTGTGCCACCACGCCCGGCTAATTTTTGTATTTTTTAGTAGGGACAGGGTTTCACCAAATTGGCCAGGTTCATCTCAAACTCCCGATCTCAACTGATCTGCCTGCCTTAGTCTCCCAAAGTGCTGGGATTATGGGCTTGAGCCATCATGCCCAGCCCAAAGTCATGTTTTAATTATTGTAATTAGTTAAATGATATTTTAAAGTATTTTTACACACGGATAATTTTTTACGGTATACAAATGTTTTCCTTACATATTAGCATCATCATTTTGTAAAACAATGGTGTAAGGTAGGAAGGGTGAGTGTGTTTTTATTTATTTATGTATTTTACAAGCAAAGCAACAGGAACTCAGAGAAATTAAGCAACTTTTTTAAGACCATGGAGTTCGCAGTGAAAGATATTCTCCCTCCCACAGAACTTATGGTAGAGCCTCATGGAGCAGAAAGTAGTATTTAATTGGGCTGGTGAAAATGCCCTGTGTTTTTACCACTATTGGGTGATTGAGACTTGAGCATGATTGACGGAAAAAGTCACTGTATATCGGCTCAGAAGAAATGAGTTCAAGGCCCAGCACTGTTACTTTTCACCGGTGATGTTGAGCAAAACCATGGTTATCTCAGATTCTTGCTTTACCTGTAGAAGGAGGACTTTGAACTAGATCATAGCCAATAGTCTTCTTTGCTTTTAAACTGGTGGTAGGGATGGTGGGGTTAAAAGAAAAACTGTAGCCAAGTTAAATTTAAAATAATTTAATTGAGCAAAGAACAACTCATGACTCAGACAGCATCCTGAGCCAGAGTGAGCTCAGATACTCCAGGACAGCCATGTGGTGGAAGAGGATTTATGGACAGAAAAAGGAAAATGACATACAGAAAATGGAAGTGAGGGACAGAAACAGCCAGATTGGTTGTTGCTTGGCATTTGCCTTATCTGAACATGGTTTGAACAGTTGGCCAATGTGATTGGCAAAACTTGGTGACTGGCGCAAGAGTAGGCTACAGTCTGTTTACAATTCCATTTAGGTTATGGTTCACTATGTACAGAGAAACCTTTAGGCTGAACTTAAAATATGTAGGGAGGTAACTTTAGGCTAAACTTGATTTAACAGTGTTCATTGCCAGAGGAAGAGAGATGTAGAAAGCAAAAAGTTCCTCTTCAAATTATCCCTTCTTGTTAAAGAATAAATCATAAGTGTTAGAAATCATAGTTTCTTTTAAAGACTAACTTTCTTCAAACCTCCTTGCTTCACACTAATAACTCGTTTTTAAGCCCTATATTATGTAGCTGTTAGATATAAAGGAATGAGTACATTCTATGTCCTTGTACTTTAACCAAGATATCTGTGCTGGACATGCTCACAGGCATGTCCCAGCTCGCAGCCTATACCCCTTCCTTATTTAGGAATGTTACTACTTTTCTAAGTCTTTTCATAAACAACTTCCACTTTTCGTTTGTTGTACATTGCTTTTATCTATTTAGAAAATTTTAAGTTGTTAGTCAATCAGGTTCAGTTTAGATTGTGTGGTCTGGCTCCAGCCAATGGAGACAGGACACAGTAGCAAGGGCAAGCACTTTAAGGGATAAAAATTGCTTCCCTCCTTCTCGCCATTATTCCATCTGCGAGGAGCACCCTTTCTGCAGAAAGTAAATTTGCCTTGCTGAGAAAACTTTTTGGCTGAATGGTGATTTTTCCTTGCAGTACCGAGGAACAAGCATTCTGTTTCTGAATAAACATTTTACTTATAACAAGAGATAAGATTAAATATAAGAATATATTATATTCTCTATTTTAGATAAGCTTGTCCTTGAATGTTGAGCATATAATGTCATCCAAAGCATCGTCCAACAGCAACACTATTCTCCTGTTAGTACCCTATTCTCCCTTTTAGGAAATCTCCCATAGTGTGGAAGTCTTTCTACTGAAATCTAAGTAACAGACAATTCCTCTTTCTACCACAAAGCAGTCAGGGATGGAGGACTCTTTCCTTGGACTTCAAATCTTCAGTGAGTGTTAGGAAGGTAGAGAGATGTCTGAGGTTCATGTTCACGGCCACATGGTTGATGATTTATGGACTAGACACAGCGTGCTCTTTTGTGTGATTCCAGCTCTCTAGCTTCCCCAGACTTCTTGGCTGTTTTTTCCAAGCCTGGTCGTCCATCTGCCATCTCATTCCAATAAATTGGAAATGCAGTTCAAGATAGCTAGAGTTGGAGTCTGTGGTATTGGGGGAACCCGCCCCCAATATTTCAATGTAGGTTCTTTCTATTTTCCCTAAGTGTCGGCGGGTCTGAGAAATAAAGAGAAAGAGCACAAAGAGAGGAATTTTACAGCTGGGCCGCTGTGGGTGACATCACGTATCAGTAGGACTGTAATGCCCACCTGAGCCTGAAAGCCAGCAAGTTTTATTAGGGATTTTAAAAGGGGAGGGGGTGCAAGAACAGGGAGTAGGTCACAAGATCACATGCTTCAAAGGGCAAAAAGGAGAACAAAGATCACATGCTTCTGAGGAAACAGGGTAAGGACAAAATCAGGAACTCCTGAGAAGGGTCTATGTTTAGCTGTGCACGTATTGTCTTGATAAACATCTCAAACAACAGAAAACAGGGTTCGAGAGCAGAGATCTAGTCTGATCTTAAATTTACCAGGGTGGGGTTTCCCAATCCCAGTAAGCCTGAGGGTACTGCAGGAGACCAGGGCATATATCAGTCCTTATCTCAACCGCATAGGACAGACACTCCCAGAGTGACCGTTTATAGACCTCCCCCCAGGAATGCAATTCTTTTCCTACGGTCTTAATGTTAATATTCCTTGCTAGGAAAAGAATTTAGCGATATCTCTTCTACTTGCACGTCCATTTGTAGGCTCTCTGCAAGAAGAAAAATATGGTTTTTTTTGCCCGACCCCACAGGCAGTCAGACCATATGGTTGTCTTCCCTTGTTCCCTAAAATCGCTGTTATTCTGTTTGTTTTCAAGGTGCACTGATTTCACATTGTTCAAACACATGTTTTACGATCAACTTTTACAGTTAACACAATGATCACAGTGGACCTGTGGTGACGTACATCCTCAACTTACGAAGATAACAGGATTAAGACATTAAAGTAAGACAGTCGTAAGAAATTTTAAGAATATTATTAGGGAAGTGATAAATGTCCCTGAAATCTTCACAATTTATGCTCCTCTGCCATGGCTCCAGCCGGTCCTTCCATTCGGGATCCCTGACTTCCCATAACATCTGGCTTGCCACTAAGACCCTGATGAACCAAGCCTGCATTTTTTTTTTTTTTTTTTTTTTTTTTTTTTTTTTTTTTTTTTGCTAAAGCTACTGCCAACCTTCTTGTGATGATCTGAGGGAATACAATTTAAACCATGATTCATAATTGTGCGAGGTACATGAGTCACCAAGAAAGGCAGGGTAAGTAATTACAAAGTAGTTATCTCTCTTTCCATAATTTTAAATTGAATATCACTTTATTCTCCATTTACAGACAGAGAGATTACAGGCAGTAATCTTCCTTTCTAAAGCTGACAGTAACTCCCACAGTAATAAATGGAAGCCTGTTTAATAAGAAATATTTACGTGTGTGACTGTGAGCACAGCTGAAAACGTGGTGTTCTTCGTAAATTTAGAACTGCATTTTCTAAATGTCGAGTGTTTATTACCTGGAAAAAAGAAAGGAAAAACAACTCTACATTTTAGACGTGTTCCACAGCTTCCTTGATGAGACATTTTAAGGACCATTAGTTGTCTAAATAGAGATTGTATTTTAGAGTGGAGACTATGAAAGAGTGTTCTCTAGTTTAAGGTTATATCCTTTACCTTGTGATAGAGTCAAGCTGTAAACTCAAAGCAAGCATCTGGCACTCTGGTTATTCTAAGTCATCTTTCTTTGCTCTCCCTTTTAAGCATCTTTCTTCACTTTAAAAACAAACACAAATAAAAGCACCTATCACAGGGAGGGCCTCAAACGAGGGCTTAATAGGTGTTGCTTTGCTTCCTCTTCTCTTTTCTTTAGTAGGCAGACTAAATTCTATGACTCTGATCTGAGGGTTAACAGTAGTCCATCTATGGATTCTATGGACTTGATGTATCTTATACTGTGGTTCCTGGAAATTCATTTTATCAGGAGTGAGTGATCTTTTCAGAAAAGCTGCTCAAGCTTGAGCCTGGGAGGTGGAGGTTGCAGTGAGCTGAGATCATGCCACTGCGTTCCAGCCTGGACAACAGAGTAAGACCCCATCTCAAAAGAAAAAAAAATCTGCTCCAGATTTTCAGAAAGGAAAATAAGATTTTACACACACACACACACACGGTTTTTGTGTCTGGTAAACTAGCAAACTGTCTCATCTGATTTCTTTGCCATCATTTCTGCTTTAAATTAGAACTCTAGAGAATGTAAATATCTAATTATCTACTGGTCAGCTTCAGAGATTTCAGGCTTCAAAGAAGTTCAGTGTGGTTTTTGTGTGATGGTTTATGATATGGATTATTCAAGGAATTCTTTCCCCACTGCCTCCTTTATTTTTGCTTTTGTTTTGCTCTGCAAAGTCTGGGGTGTAGCCAAGCTCAGAGCTGATATTGCCTAGAAATTCATGTCAAGGCACGAGTTCCATGAGATGTATCTTCATGAGTCAGAAATACTAAGGAGAGTCATTTCTTATGGAGGTGCACGTTGTAGAAAGAATTCTAATGGATAACTAAACAAACCATTATTTTGGAAGAAGAAAGTAGCCTGAGTTGGCTTCTCTTGACCTTACTTGTGTAGACTGCAGCATGGATTCCACAGTGGGTATCTCCCACTATTTTTTTTTTTTGAGACAGAGTCTCAGCTTAAGAAAAGCATTAGCAATTAAGATAGTGGGATAGGCTTGGCGAGGGGGCTCACGCCTGTAATACCAGCACTTTGGGAGGCCAAGGCAGGTGGATCACTTGAGGTCGGGAGTTCAAGACTAGTCTGGCCAAAATGGGGAAACCCCGCCTCCACTAAAAGTACAAAAAAAAATAGCTTGGTGTGGTGGCACACATATGTACTCCCAGCTACTCCGGAGGCTGAGGTGGGAGGATCGCTTGAACCCAGGAGGCAGAGGCTGAAGTGAGTCGACATCGCGCCACTGAACTCCAGCCTGGGCAACAGAGGGAGACTCTGTATCCAAGAAGATAGTGGGAGATAGGGCTGGGCACAGTGGCTCACACCTGTAATCTCAGCACTTTGGGACCAATCCCACATTTCCCTTCTGCACTGTCCTGGCAGAGTTTCTCTATGAAGGCTCCAACCCTGCAGCAGCTTTTTGCCTGGACATCCAGGAGTTTCCATATATCCTCTGAAATCTAGGTGGAGATTCCCAAACCTCAATTCCTGACTTCTGTGCACCCACAGGCTGAATACCACATAAGAGCTGCCAAGGTTTGGGGCTCACACCTTGGTCACCAGGCTGGAGTGCAGTGGCGCAACCTCAGCTCACTGCAACCTCCGCCTCCCGGCTTCAAGCAATTCTCCTGCCTCAGCCTTCCGAGTAGCTGGGACTACAGGCATGCACCACCACACCCAGCTAACTTTTGCATTTTGAGTAGAGATGGGGTTTCACCCTGTTGGCCAGGATGGTGTCGGTCTCTTGACCTCGTGATCCACTGGCCTTGGCCTCCCAAAGCTTTGGGACTTGGTGCCCGGCATCCTAGCTGTGCCAGCTCCAGCTGTGGCTAAAAGGGGTCAAAGTACAGCTTGGGCTGTTGCTTCAGAGGGTGTGACCTCCAAACCTTGGCAGCTCCCATGTGGTATTCAGCCTGTGGGTGCACAGAAGTCAAGAATTGAAGTTTGGGAACCTCCGCCTAGATTTCAGAGGATGTATGGAAACTCCTGGATGTCCAGGCAAAAAGTTGCTGCAGGGTCGGAGCCTTCATAGAGAAACTCTGCTAGGGCAGTGCAGAAGGGAAATGTGGGATTGGTCCCAAAGTGCTGCGATTACAGGTGTGAGCCACTGTGCCCCACCCTATCTCCCACTATCCTTTTTGATACAGAGTCTCTCTCTGTTGCCCAGGCTGGAGTGCTGTGGCATGATCTTGACTCACTGCAGCCTCTGCCTCCCAGGTTAAAGTGATCCTTCTGCCTCAGCCTCCCAAGTAGCTGGGAGTACATATGCGTGCCACCATACCCAGCCAATTTTTTTGTATTTTTAGTAGAGGCGGGGTTTCACCATTTTGGCCAGGCTAGTCTTGAACTCCCAACTTCAAGTGATCCACCTGCCCTGCCCTCCCAAAGCGCTGGGATTACAGGTGTCAGCCACCACACCCAGCCTCTCCCACTATCTTAATTGCTAACGTTTTTCTTAAGCTGGTGCTTGCCAGCTTCTTTGCTCTCCCCTTTAAGCCTCCTTCTTCTCTTTTAAAATAAACACACATAAAAGCACCTAGCACAGGTGTTGCCAGCTTAAGAAAAGGAGCTGGAAAGTCTTAGACGAATGATTACTCCATTAGCTGACATTTACTATACATCCTGCATGTGATGAACAACAGTGTAGGGCAGGGCCCTTTATAATAGTGATACATTTTTGCAAAAATTCACAGTTCACCTAGGCAAAGTGTGCACGTCTCACAACAATCCAGGTGTTAGGTACACTTCAGTGGCAGGAGACAGGGACTCCCTTTTACGGGATAATAAGCACAAAAGGGTGCAGCATGAAAGTCAATGTCAGGCAGCCCCCTGCTTTCCCAGAGAAGAAACAGTTTACCTCTTCATTGGGAGAAATGCAGGCTCTCAAAACAGGAGAATGGAAATGAGGCAACTGGTTGAGGACTTCAGCTTTCAGTGGCACAACATGGGGCTGGAGGCGTAATTAGCTTAGCAACTGGCTTGCTAATGTGGTGGTTTAAAACTCAGCAAATTGTTCCATTATCCTTCTACATTAAAATAATCTTTCAAGTGGTTCCCTCACTCTTCTCAGGGTAGCTTTTCAGTAGTTTAAATAATTCAGTATCCTCTGGAGAATCTCTAGTATGAAAACTTCTAGTTCCTGAAGTACACCAAAAGATGAAATAGAACCCTTTTGTAGGACACACTAGAGCTCCTTTAGAGGCAGTGGTTCTAGAAAATTGAAGCTTCAATCCAACATCTATGATGATTACCATAGATTATTGTTGCTGGCATTTTATGATGGACATCTTAAAAACTCATCCCATGTGGAGTGAGACAGCTCTACCAATCCTCAAGGCCAGAAATACAACACAGCTTTTGGCTCTGTCATTCATCCACTGTGGGTCTACCTGGAGCCATTTGATCCTGCTGAGCTGTGGCCTTCCCTTTTGCAAAATGAAGAAGAATGCCCCCTTGGGCCAAATGGGACAAGGTATATGAAAAATCACTGAAAATTACCACGTTCCACCCATCTATAAATGTCATAAGTATTGATGACTAATACATTGGAAAAAATAGACTCCGATTTATAATCAATGGCAGAGCAAAAACTCACAGAAGGAAATTAACACATAATAATGGTTCAAATAAGGTGAGATTTGCCAGCACAGGCAAGCTTTCATGTCCCTTTCAAGTTCCATGTGATTATGGTATATAAAACGTCTCAGAAATGAGATAAAATCCATTTAGCTAGGTGACATGCAGGGAGGGCAATTATTTTCCATCAAATACGCACAACAAAGCTGGCCAGTCTCAATTTGAATCAGAACACACTGCTGTTCTATTAGCTGGAAAATTAACAGGAATTTTATATCAAAACACTACTAACATAAAAAATGAAGCCAGTGTGTTTTACTATGATATTGCAGAGCTTATTACATGAGTAAAGAAGAATCAATATGCTGAATTTTTCTTTTAAGAATAAGAGTTTCATTAAAACCTGAGAAATAAAACTATGTTAGCATGATATAATCTATAGTTGGCAATCAAGAACTCCATAAAAGTATTCAATATTTTGAGAAAGTCTTAAAGCGGACTGCATAACAAACCACACGGCCAGAAGATTAAATCCAAATTATAGCATTATTCAGAAACTGGCTCAGTCAAATAGCTATTTCCTGCCTCTCCTCCAAACCCGCTAATTGCTTTCTTAACCTTGGGCTCTATTTCAATTTACAGTGATTTTTTAAAACTTTAAAGTTTATGTAAAATAACTTCAAAGTGTGAATGACATGAACTTGATGATTCTAACTCTTCATTTTTTTCAAATAGAGAAGCCCAGCAGCTTGGTAGGACCCAGTTCCCACCTTATTTTGATACTCCAGAAATAAGTGAGTTGAAGATCGTCAAACAGAAAAACTCAAAATAACAGTGTAACCTTCTTTTATTTAGGATTATAAACATCATACAACTTTTTTATTAAAGAAAATGATAATTTTTATTCAGTTCCTTAAAATTCACCCTATAGTCTCTAATTCAATGTTAAAATAATATAAGTCTTGAGGCTGAGGTGGGAAGATCACTTGAGGTCAGGAGTTTGAGACCAGCATGGCCAACATGGTAAAACCCCACCTCTACCAAAAATACAAAAACTAGGTGGGCATGGTGGTGTGCGCCTGTAGTCCCAGCTACTTGGGAGGCAGAGGCAGGAGAATCACTTGAACCTGGGAGGCAGAGGTTGCAGTGAGCCGAGATCCCATCTCTGCACTCCAGCCTGGGTGACAGAGTGAGACTCCCTCTCAAATAATAATAATAATAAAGTCTTACTTTTGGTTATTTTCTAATCTGAAGTCTTCCCACTCACTAGTCTAAGAATATGACACAATTGTCCCCTATTAAATCATCACCTTTTGTTGATTCTTGCTCTTTCCAGCTATCTTGAAACATAAATATAGAAACCTCAGGTTAATGGATATCTCAAATTTGAAGGCAAATGAACACTATGTATAGCTATAAAAGAATGATGTACACCAGGCTCAGCTATGGCGCACACCATCCCTCCTATAGAAACCTAAAATATCTATGACTTGTAGTAGATCAAAGTTATGAACCTATATTCCTTCTTGTACTTACTTCAAATCTTCTTGAAAGAACTTTAAAAATGTGAAGGTTATATTATTTCTCTCTTACCAAACAGATGGGATCACAGTACTTCTAAAATATTAACCTCATTCTAGATTTCACTTTTATTCATTTCTGGTTAAAGAGAGAATATAGGGCATAGTGAAGGGTTTTGGAAGCCTGAGGAAGTTATTTTTATATTTACCTCAAACTTACGTAAATGCCCTCTTTTTACACAAAGACCTTGCTGTGTAAAGAGTACATTGTAGTTATTATAGTTGCCACTTCTTCTTCTTCTTTTTTTTTTTTTTTGAGACTGAGTTTCGCCCTGTCACCCAGGCTGAAGTGCAGTGGCATCATCTTGGCTCACTGCAAACTCCACCTCCCAGGTTCAAGTGATTCTCCTGCTTCAGCCTCCCAAGTAGCTGTGATTTCAGGCGCCTGCCACCACGTCCAGCTAATTTTTTTTTATTTTTAGTAGAGACGGCATTTCACCACGTTGGCCAGGCTGGTCTTGAACTCCTGACCTCAAGTGATCCACTCACCTCGGCCTCCTAAAGTGCTGGGATAACAGGCATGAGCCACCGTGCCCAGACCACTGCTTCTTTTTCCCTAAAGAAACAGTAGCTCCCCCAACCTCACAGGCTCCCCTTGTGAAAATAAACACTGAGATGATATCTTTGAATTGATAAAGCAAAATAAATAAGATGCGACAGAATAAAGCAAGGGAAGTAAAGGAACACTTTCTTGAGAAATCAAATATATATGAAGTCTACTTCTCTATTCTTGTTTATTCACATCTTAAATTTGATCTGCATAATATCTGGTAAAGTTCTCCCTGTGGTTGCAGAAAGACATTCAGAAATCAGAATATTTGACTTAAGGAGTTAAAACTACAGCAACACAAGAAAAAAAGTCTGTTAAGAGTACAATTTTAAAAGTACTTAGCCTTGGCCAGGTGCAATGACTCATGCCTGGAATCCCAGAGCTTTGGGAGTCTGAGACAGGAGGATCACTTGAGCCCAGGGGTTTGAGACCAGCCTGGGCAACATGGTGAAACCCTGTTTTGACAAAAAATATAAAAATTAGCTGAGCATGGTGTTGTGCACCTGTACTTTTAGCTACTATAGCTATTTGGGAGGCTGAGGTGGGAGGATCGCTTGACCTTGGGAGGTTGAGGCTGCAGTGAGCTATGACTGCACCACTGCACTCCAGCCTGCCAACAGAGAGAGACCCTGTCTCAAAAACAAATAAACAGGCCAGGCGCAGTGGCTCACACCTGTAATCCCAGCACTTTGGGAGGCTGAGGCGGGCAGATCCAAGGCCAAGGCGGTGGTGGGCGACAGAGCAAGAATCCATCTCAAAAAAACAAAGAAAAACAAAAAAAGAAAAGAAAAAACTTGGTCTCTTCTGTGTGTCAGATAAGATTTTAAGTGCTAGGGATACACAGTGAACAAGATAAAGACTCTGCCCTCCAGGTGCTTAAATTATATACTATGTATGTGTGTATATATATGTATATATACATATATATGGTGAATTTTTCCCATTTTCTATTTCTATTGTATACATACATGGTATATATGTTATATATATATACACACACACGGTATACTTACATACATGGTATATATCTATAATGTATACATATGTATGTATATATACACATATGTGGGTATATATATATATATACCCACATATGTGTATCTATGTGTGTGTGTGTATATATATATATATATATATACACACACACATATATATATGGTGAATTTTTCGCATTTTCTATTTCCTTTCCGAGACCATGAGTGTAAGGGGGAATTTGGAACAATACATTTATGGTGGTAGACATCAGAAAACATTTCAGATCTCACAAATGAAGCACTAGCTTCTTCCCCCACCTTCAGGAATGAAATCACTCCTCCATATTAAACACCTGGATAAGCATTGCTCAACTTTATTAAATGACCGTTTGTGAAGTGTCTGTGATTAATTGCAATCAACTCATTTATTGAGTGCTATCCGGCACTAGAACAGATGCATTTAACAGGAGATAGGATAAAGTCCCAACCTTTAAAGCATATGGAATTTACATTTATGATTTTTTTAAAAAAAAAAAGACTAAAGTAATCAAGACAAACTCAAGTATCTTTCTATGTAATCTAAAGCAGGGGTCTGCTTTATGAAAAAAATGACATATTTTGACATAAAGCTTCTGTTTTTCCTGGTCGAATTGAAGGCAAATAGCTCAGCATTTCATAAAATTATGAGCTTCAAAATTTCTCTCTGCAGATCCCGTCTCTGCCTTCAATACGTTCCCAGGTCTGCCTTGGGAAAAGTTTGTGACGTTCTAGTTTTTAGGAGACCGTTTTGCTATTATTCTTTCCACCTCCTTCCACTCCCCAAACCAGAGAGAATATGGTATCAGTTAAGTAGGGACTAACAGAAAGCGATTCTTTCAGGTGTGAGCCCCAGCTGAGGTTTGAGGGGAGTGGGTGGATGGGCAGATAACTGAAAGAACACTCAGGGGGCCGTAGGCAGGTGAATATGGTTTTATGCAGCAGCTCTGTCATCGGCAGCGTACTCACACCGTCCACCTTTACCTCGGCTATTTGCTCCAGCTCTGAGGCTCTCGCCGACCCCACACCTGCAGCTGCGCTCTCTGCCCTACAAGGCCAGCTCTCTCTTACAGGGAGAGCAGCTTAACTCTTTCCCTTTGGGCACAAGCTGGTTCCTGGCTCCCCACTGCCTGCCTTCAAGGTGACCCACTCTCCCTTACAGGGGTAAGTAGCCTTACTCTCTCTCTGGGCACCAGCGCCCGAGCCATGTCGAGCCATTCCGTTCCGTGCTGGGCCGAGCCAAGCCATATGCACAGTGTCAGCCGGGCAGTTATACTTTTTCAAAGAATAATGGCTCAAAGACAGGTATGAGCTTACCCAAACAGGTTATATAACAAGTGGAGTATTGCGCCTGTGCCCTAAACTCACTAAGTCATGCAGGCCCGGATGTCTGCCTCAGCCTAATTCTTGACCAAAGCTCATCCGTGTAGCTTACAGATTCACTCTTAGGTATTTGCTCAATCACACGTTGCATTTTCTCTAAACCTCTCATCCTATGTCCTCAACTCCATACCCACCTCCCCACCACCCTCACCACCCTAAACTTCCAACAGAGAGAGTAGAACATTTTTAGGATACAAGGAACACCTGAAATCACCTTTAGGCCTTTTCAGTGGATCGAAAGGAAAACCTGATGTTGACCTTTGGATAGACAACCAGGAGGGAGGGCCGTCAAATAGGCGGCCCTAGAATGACCCCTGAATCAGAGCTGGAGGACGCAGGGTGAGCCTTGTAGAGGTTTAGGCCAGGCTGTGCTGCTGAAGAAGAAAGGTCCTCTGGGTCTCCTCATCACTGACACCTTTCTCACACACACACACACACACACACACACACTCTTCCCCAAACCCTTAATTCAGGCTTCTCTAGGGAAGCAGTTTTCACTTTGTTTTTTCAGCAGGTAT
This sequence comes from Homo sapiens, assembly GCF_000001405.40. Taxonomy (NCBI): domain Eukaryota; kingdom Metazoa; phylum Chordata; class Mammalia; order Primates; family Hominidae; genus Homo; species Homo sapiens. The sequence goes on from NC_000010.11 coordinate 17,273,556, forward strand.
TCATGATAGATGTGAGTCATGTCTACCACACAACTCACTCAAAAGGAGTGCTGGGATTAACCCTGAGAGTGAGTCACGTGATAGAGCCTCACTCTCATTTCATGTCCAGGGAACAGAAGATTCTGCTTGGTAGCTGTAACTCACTTTCTTTCCTGGACATACAGAATTCTGCTTGCTAGTTGTAACTCGCTTTTTCTTTCCTTCCTTCCTTTCTTTCTCTCTCTCTTTCTTTCTATATAAAATTCTGCTTGGTAGCTGTAACTCCCCTCCCCCTCCCCGCCTTCCCCTTCCTCCTTCTTCCCTCCTCCTCCTCTCCTCCTTTCCTCCTCCTCTCCTCCTCCTCCTTCTCCTCCTCCTCCTTCTCCTCCTTCTTCTTCTCCTCCTTCTTTTCTTCTTCTTCTTCTTTTCTCTCTCTCTCTCTCTTGCTTTTGTTTTTTGAGACAGGATCTAACTCTGTCACCCAGGATGTTGTGCTGTGGTACAATCACAGCTCACTGTAGCCTTGACTTCCTGGGCTCAAGCAATCCCCCCACCTAAGCCTCCCAAGTAGCAGGCATTACAGGTGTGCACCACCTTGCCCAGCTCATTTTTACATTTTTTGTAGCGATGGGGGGAGGTCCTACTATGTTATCTAGTTGGTCTTGAGCTCCAGTCTCAAGCAATCCACCTGCCTTGGACTCCCAAAATGCTGGGATTACAGGCATGAGCCACCGCACCTGGCCTATTATCTCTTTCTTTCCCAAGGAAAGTATACGAGAGTTCTTCATGGGGATAACTTTGCATCCGCTCTATTTTAATTTTTAAAAAGTGAATCATTTGTCAACTTGGGCCATCAAATTATTATTAGTTACCACTGAATCCCAATGTACCTCACAACTAATCTCAGTGCTTCTATGGAGAGCTATGACCAGAGACCTTCCTCTAACCAAGGCTCAGCAAACTACTTTTGTAAAGGGTGAGGCTGTAAATATTTTCAACCTTGGGGGCCATATGGTCTTTGCCGCAACTATTCAGCCCTGCTGCCGTAATACAAAAGCAGCTGTAGATGATGATGACTCAACCAATGGGTGCTAGTTATGTTCCAATAAAACTTTATTTGCGATGATGAGCAGGCTGATTGGGCTCAGGGGCTGTGTAGTTCCCCAACCCTGTTCTTACCACCTCTCGCCCACTCTTGGACTCAGACAGAACCCTCATCTCCCTTCATCATCCAGTGTTAGCCCATCCTTGGTGGGTTTCTCTCCTCTGCAATTCACCATCCTCTCCCCTCCAAACAAAATCCGAGGTAGCTTATTTTTCCTTGAACATTTGATGTTATTTTACTTACATTTCTTAAACTGCTGTCTGATATCTGGAAACATTCCTGTGCCTTTTATCTTATTTTTGCCTGCGGTAATATGTACTTTTGACAGAGAAGTGTGTTTGAGAGTGCATTGCCTCATTAAAAAGAGTACTGCTGCATGTATACGTTTTCCACTCAGCAATAATTATTGCCAAATAGAGCAAGGCTTCTAATTAACAAGCAAATTCCAAATTCCAAATGGTGTACCAGACTACTTAATTAGATCTGTTGCTTTTTAATTCCCTCACTGAAAGTCTCAGGCATGGCTTTAACTCTATTTTGTCAGTTATTTTCTTTAGCCTAACCCTGGTCTTACTGTAAGTCATGCTAATTATTCTCACTAATTTATTTGCTTACTGTAGTTAGAGGCTCTCTTACCCTACACAGTTCAGGGAATGTCAAAATCTCTGTGACCCATAACTCTGGTTTTATCTCCCAGACAACAAGAGCAATACCTGACAATGGTTTTGTTTGTTTTTCAGATCTAGGTGTTTTTTTTTTTCCCTCTCTCTTGCCTGCAACCTCTACATTTGTTACACAATAGAATATTTCAACTCAAACAAATGGCATGGAAAAACAGTACGTAGCCTGGTTTTACTAGAGAAATGAAGCTCAGGGCTAACATGAAGATACGGTGCTAGGGAACGGCAGGAGAGAAGGTTGAAAAGCTTAAGTAATGAGGATTTTGCAGAGAGGACTCCAGAGTGCTTTCCTCCTGTCCTTTTCTCTGGACTCCAATTTCCAGCTGTTTCTCTGCAGTTTGGCACCTGCAAGCGGTTAGCAGACCTGGAGGATGTCAGCAAAGCCTCTACCCAGGCCCACAGGAAGTAGCTTAGGCAGGATTTGTTTCCCTCTTGATGCCAGATCAACTGTATGAGATTTCTATTACTGCTGTTACAAATGACCATGCATTTAGCAGCTTAAAAACAGCACGAATCTATTATCTTACAGTTCTGGAGGTCAGAAGTTCAAAATAGGTCTCACTGGACTAAAAGAAAATTGTTGGTGGGGTTGTGTTTTTTGAAGAGGCTTTAGGGAAAAACTCCATGTCCTTACCTTTTCCAGGCCACCTACATTCCTTGGCTCATGGCCTCTTCCTCCATGTTCAAAGCCAGCAAAGGAGCCTCTTCAAATCTCTACAGGACTCTGACCCTCCTGCCTCCCACACCTAGATAATCGAGGATAACCTCCCCATCTCAAGGTCATCTGATTAGCAACCTTAATTCCATCCACAATCTTAATTCCCCCTTGTAATAGAACATATTCACAAATTCTTGGGATTAGACATCTTTGGAAGACCACTATTCTGCCTATTACCTCAACTGAGTCTAAAATTCAATAATTGAGAGTTCTGGGGCGTCTCTATGCATTTCATCAAAATTGCTGAATTCCAAAATGAAGAATAAATTTTTACATTCTAGACATAAAATTTAGTAATGTATACATACACATATAAGATTAGCATTACATTTATCTGTGGAATGAACATGGAAGAGTTTGGACACCCACAGACTAAAATCCAGGAAATGTGTTTCCATCTAAGATATCATTCAGCCATCAAGGAAAACAAAGACATTTATAAATATGCCAGAATTCCAAAACTATATAATCTGTGAACATCCCAGGAGAATATTCAAGAAAAAAACTTTTAGCCAAACAACAAAATATCTCAGATATCAGAGGACAGAGAAAGGGGAAAAGAAGATTAAATAGTGGCCAATAAAGAACATTTCAAAAAATGTATACATTGTTAAGCCTAAACAGAGAATGGTAGAATATAAAAATTAGAAATTATGCATTTAATTTTTTTGGCTGATCTTAGTGATAGAAATCTAATTTGCCATTTTATTTGATGAGAAGCCTTGTGAGGAAACTAGATTTGGTGACTTAAGTCCTTAAGGGCTGTGCTAATACTGCCTTTCTTAGTGTTAGATACGGCTAGGTTCCTCTGCAAACAGCATGCCCAGTTCTCCTGTTCGTTATTCTCTCATTCCAAGTACCCACCCCCTGCCCCCGCTTTTGCTGCGCCTTAACCTGTCTAAACATACTTAGACATGCCACAGCCCCAGTCCACATTCCTTTCCTTATGTGGGAATAGGTTAGCTTTCTAGTGCCCTGTAGGTGACCCCTTCCTTCTCCCCCTCTCTCCTCTATCACACACCTACCTTAACTAAGAAAGTTTAAATGTTTACCCAATTGAGACCAGTTTACATTGTGCGGTCCAAGCCCAGGCAATGGGGGGAAAGACACAGAGGCAGAATCTGCATTAGGAAGAAAACCCCCACTCTTCTTTGCTCCGCATGCTCTCGTGACAGCCAGGTTTATGAGCAGCACCCTTCTGCGGAAGTAAATTTACCTTGCTGAGAAATTCTTTGTTTTACTGCTCATTTTCTTTGTGACCCTGAGCTCTTACTTCTGACATTAGCAAGATAACAAAAAAAAGATAAAGAATATTTATTTCCTGGTGGCCACGAGAGCACTCTAAACAAACAAACAGTGCTAGAAACTAAAAGCATTCATGGTCTGGGAGAACAAACCGTGTGCTAGCTCAGTTAGAGGTACTGTCCCTAAATTTACTGATAGTTATAAGAAAAAAACAACAACAGGAATTCCTGAGGAATGTAAGTGTTTGACAACAAGGCCTGTAAATATAATGGTTTAACCACAAAGCTTGAAAACGTTTGTTATGGGAAATTGATTTTCTTCACTTCAGCTGTAAATTAACTCATCAGTTTTGTGATAAGTAACCTACCACTCAGGATGTGAACTTTCTGGCCTTGTGATAATGAATCCACCACACTGTGCCTGTTCTCCTATTTTTTAGAGAGCTTTTTCTTCCCTTACCAGTTCTATTCCCAACAGTATAGAAGTGATTTAAGCTGCCTCTGACAGATCTGATCCATATAGAGTACAAAGCCTCTTTCTTCCATGCACTGTGAGTGAAATACTAACAACAGCCTTGTACTAAAAGTTATAAATTTAGGAAAAGCTAGGCCTTGAGGGGATGGGAGTGAGTTAAGTAAAATTAAAAGTAGTCTAAATTTATCTTCTTTCTGGTGTATGAATAAAAGCAATAGGGAAATAGAGTATCTGAAGTATATAGGAATTCTATCTTGCTTTCATGTAATAGTCAAGAAACAGTATTTAATTATGAAGCTAATTGTTCAAACAAAGAAAAAAACTAACACATTTTCAAAAGAAGAAATTTTAAGAGACCACATTCCTTGATCATAATCTGATACAGTTAAGCAAAAAATAAAACTATGCCTCTATTACTCAGAAAATAATAAATCCACTTCTACTTAAATCTTTGATAGAAGAGAAAAGTCAAAATAAAATCATCAACTATAGGTAGACCAGTGAAAGGAAGGCCACTACATTCTAAAACCTCTGGCACACAGGCCGGGCATGGTGGCTCCTGCCTGTAATCCCAGCACTTTGGGAGGTCGAGGCAGGCAGATCACTTGAGGTCAGGAGTTTGAGACCAGCCTGGCCAACATGGTGAAAACCCATCTCCACTAAAAATACAAAAATTAGCTGGGTGTGATGGTGCGCACCTGTAATCTCAGCTACTTGGGAGGCTGAGGTAGGAGAATCGCTTGAACCCAGGAGGTGGAGGCTGCAGTGAGCCAAGACCACGCCACTGTACTCTAGCCTGGGCAACAGAGGAAGGAATTTATCTCAAATAATAATAATAATAAAAGCATCTGGTACACAATGACAACTATACTCATTGGGAGATTACAACCTTGAAAGCTGTGTTGGGGGTCCCCAAGACCACCCTCAGGCTTGTCAATATACTAGTAGGACTCAGAGGAGTCATAAAAGCCGTTGTGCTCACAATTACACTTTATTGCAGGGAAAGATGCAGATTAAAATCAGCAAAATGCCAAGGGTCATGGAGCAAAGTCCAGGAGAAACCAAGTGCCAACTTCCAGATGTCCTCTCCCAGTAGAGAAACACAGGTGCATTTAATTCTCCCAGCAAGAATGTGTGACTATACATGCAAAATATTGCCAGCCAGGGAAACTCACCTGAGGCTTGGTGTCCACGGTTTTTATTGGCAGAGTCAGTAACATAGACGTAGTACATGCATGATTGCCCTCAGCCTCTCAGAGCAAAAATAGCAAAAATAAGCATCACCATAAATCACATTGTTAGCATAAACAATCTGACTAAACTAGTACCAGGTAGCCCCAGGCCTCAGTCATGCAAAACTCTCTGATCCTGCAGAATATTTCAACATCTCAGAGCTCAGCTCCCAGGAGCCAGCTAGGGCTGATCGTAAAGGCAGGCCTTTTTTGGGAACATGTGGAGTTTAGCAGCCAGACCTGCAGTTAGCACCTTCTGCACAAATGTCTCCACGATTATAGAAGAAACAATAAATTTTTTTAAAAATTCAATGCTTGGTTTAAGAAATTAGAAATAAAAAAACAAAAAGTAGCACAAGAAGGAATTAAGATAACAAAAAAATAAAATGTAATAATAGGTTAAATATATCCCAAAGCCAGTTCTTCCAAAGGACCAATAAAATAGACAAACTTTCATGAGTTTAATCAAGAATTAAAGAGGACAGAAATATACAAGCTTAGGAATGAGAAAGAAAACATGACCGTAGATAAGGAAGGCATTAAAATAGTTTTAAGAATATCCTAGGACAATGCGTAGAAATAAAGGTCAAAACCTGGAGGAAATGTGTATTTTTTTAGCAAAATATAAGCTGCCACTATTGATCCCAGAGGAAGGAACAACCATGAATAAACAAATTACCATAGAAGGGATGGACAAGATAATGGAAGATCTACAATTAAGAAAGACAGCAGTATAAGATATTGTCACAGCTGAGGAAAGCCCTCTAGCAAGGAGATGCAGGTGTTGGCAGCTGGAAGTCCAGCAGGCATTCACAGAAAAGGTAAGAGTGAGAGGACCTGACAGAACGCTGATAGTATCTGCAACAACTACTAGGGCAAAAATATGTTAATTGCCCTGGTAGGCAAGGAAATGCACATTAAAACAATAGACATCATTGTGCCCCATAATATTGGCAATTACAAGGGGGAATTACAGATGCTTATGGCTGGAGGCCCACAGGAAAAAAAGATTCTCTTATATTTGGTGGTGGAAGTATGAATTGTCACAACCTATTGAGAAACAATCCAATAATATCCATTAAAATTCAAGTTGTGTGTGTGTGTGTGTGTATGTAATTTGTTTTAGCAAGTTCTAGGGATCCATCCCATGGAAATAAAATAAACACAACAATCTATAGGAATATATGATCAGGGAGATTTTACAGCAATATTGTAGAGATTTTTAGAAAAGAAAATGCCAATCAATAGGAAAATGGCTGAAAACATATTAATACCTCCATACCATGTACAATTGTTCAGCTATTAAAAATGAGTTATGGCCAGGCATGGTGGCTCATGCCTGTAATCCCAGCACTTTGGGAGGTTGAGGCAGGAAGATAATTAAGGCCAGGAGTTCAAGAGCAGCCCAGGCAACATAGTGAGATCCCACCCCTACTAAGAATTTAAAAAACTTTAAATAAATTTATAAAATAAAATTTTAAAATGAGTTAGATCTAAATAGATCAAATCAGAAGAATTTTTCAATGTATTATTAAGTGAGAAAGCTAAGATATGGAGGAATTTCCATAATATGATTTCATTTTAGTAAAAAAAAAAGTTAAATCACATTGTGTCTGTGTTTATGCTTGTACAAAAGCATGAAGGAAGGTCCAGAAGGATGCTCAGTAGCTTGGTACACAAGGTACCCTGCTTCTTCTGGTGGTGGAGAGAGATGGTAGTAATGCCAATGTTTGGGAAGGAAAGAGAGAGAGAGAGAGACCCAAGATTAAAAAATATGTATGGTATCTCTGTTAGCCCATTTTCACATTGCTGTAAAAAAAACTCTCTGAGACTGGGTAATTTATAAAAAAAGAGGTTTAGCTGACTCACAGTTCCATATTGCTGGGGAGGCCTCAGGAAACACAATCATGGTGGAAGGTGAAGGGGAAGAAAGGCACTTCTTACATGGTAGGAAGAGAGAGAGACTGAGGGGGGAAGTGCCACACTTTTAAACCATCAGATCTCGTGAGAACACCTCACTATCACAAGAACAGCACGGGAGAAATCTGCCACCATGATTCAATCACCTCCACCAGGCCCCTCCCCTGACATGTGGGGATTACAATTCAACATGAGATTTGGGTGGGGATGAAGAGCCAAACAATATCAATATCTATGCATCATTCTATATGTGTATGGATATAAAGAAATATATGAAAAGCAGGTCTCCAAAATTAAATAGTGTCATGTGACAAGATATCAGAGATGGTTTTGCCTCTCTGTTTCACATATTTTTGAGTCTTAATTTTAATTAATGTGTGTTTGTATTAGTCAGGGTTCTCCAAGGAACAGAACCAATGGCAGAGAGAGAGAGAGAATAGATGATTTGATAAACAGAGAGATAAATAGATGATTTAATAGATAGTTAGAGAGATAGGAAGATAGAGGATAGACATAGATATAGATAGATGTTTAGATAGATAAATACATAGGAAGATAAATAGATGATAGATAGGGAGATAGAGAGGAAGACTGATAAATCATAGATGATTTGATGGATGATAGATATATGGATAGGAAGACAGATAGTCATATGGTTAGGCTGTATCCCCACTCAAAATCTCATCTTGAATTGTAATCCCCATGTGTCAAGGATGGACCAAGTGGACGTAATTGGATCATAGAGGTGGTTTCCCCCATGCTGTTCTTGTGATAATGAGTGAGTCTCATATGATCTGATGGTTTTATCAGCATCTGGCATTTCCCCTGCTTGTTCTCATTCCGTCCTGCTGCCCTGTGAAGGTGTCTGCTTCTCCTTTGCCTTCTGCCATGATTGTAAGTCTCCGGAGACCTCCCCAGCCATAATAAACTGTGAATCGATTAAACCTCTTTCCTTTATAAATTACCCATTTCTTCATAGCAGTGTAAATTGGTACCGGAAGTGGAGTGCTGCTAGAAAGCTACCTGAAAATGTGGAATAACTTTGGAAATGGGGTAACAGGCAGAGATTGGAACAATTTGGAGGGCTCAGAAGAAGAAAGGAAGATGTGGGAAAGTTTGGAACTTCCTAAAGACTTGTTAAATGGTTTTGACCAAAATGCTGATAGTGATGTGAACAATGAAGTCCAGGCTGAGGTGGTCTCAGATGAAGATGAGGAACTTGTTGGGAACTGGAATAAAGGTGACCCTCGCTATGCTTTAGCAAAGAGACTGGCAGCATTTTGCCCCTGCACTAGAGATCTGTGGAACTTTGAACTTGACAGAGATGACTTAGGGTATCTGACAGAAGAAATTCTTAAACAGCAAAGCATTCAAGAGGTGACAGAACATAAAAGTTTGGAAAATTTGCAGCCTGACAATACAAGAGAAAAGAAAAATCTATTTTCTGGGGAGAAATTCAAGCCAGCTGCAGAAATTTGCATAAGTAACGAGGGGCCAAATGTTAATCACCAAGCCAATGGGGGAGATGTCTCCAGGGCATAACAGATAACTTCATGGCAGCCCTACCCCCATGACAGGCCCAGAGGCCTAGGAGGAAAAAATGGTTTTGTGGGGCAGGTCCAGCGCCCTGCGGCTGTTTGCAGCCTTGGGACTTGGTGCCCTGCATCCTAGCTGTGCCAGCTCCAGCTGTGGCTAAAAGGGGTTAAAGTACAGCTTGGGCTGTTGCTTCAGAGGTTGTGAGCCCCAAATCTTGGCAGCTCCCATGTGGTATTCAGCCTGTGGGTGCACAGAAGTCAAGAATTGAAATTTGGGAACCTCT